>NC_000001.11:66523531-66826562 GCF_000001405.40 Homo sapiens
TTTACCACAATAACTGTGTGCTGGGAAAATGAAACCAGCCAAACTTTCCAGGGTTTCATAGAAACTGAGTCTAAACTGATGCTCATTCCTGGAGATCCAAATACCACTGTGGTCCAGTAGTCAAAGTAGGGACTTCTGTCTCACTGTAGGCCCATTTGATCTCCAAGCCTATGTATATTTTCCTAGTTCTGGAATGCATAGTTAGAAAAGGCATACTCAGAATTCCTATGTTAGTTCTTTGATCTGGGAGTGGCAGATACTCTTGCCAGATAGACCTCTCCTTATTAAAATAGTAAACTAAAAGTAATGCTACATCAAAGACTTGGAATATGGAGGGTTATTGGTCCCTATCACTTTGCCCATTCACCCTATCTGGCCTGTGCAGCAATAAGATGAATCTTGAATTACCATAAACTTAATCAGGTGGTGACTTTAGTAGAAGCTATTGACCAGATGTGGCATTTTACTGGAGTAAATCAACACAGTCCCTGATATTTTATCTGCAGTGTTGATCTAGTGGATGTTTCTTCTCTATACGTGTTAATAAATACAAGTAGAAAAAAAGTTTCCCTTATATGGCAAGAGCAGCAGTACACTTTAACTATGTTGCCTTACTTCAACCTCTAATACAATCCAGTCCTCAGGAACCTTGATTGCCTAGCAATTCCAAAAGATATTATTCTAGCCCATTGCATTGATGATATCAGGCTGTTTAGGATTAGCGAGCAGATATCAGACTGTTTAGGACTGGTGAGCAGAAAGTAGCAAATATCTTAGTATACCTTAATAAAATCCATGACAGGTGTTGAGACCACAAAATTCAGGGCTTGTAGACTCAGTAACATTTCTAGGAGTTCTTTAGTCTGGAATATATTGAGATACTCCCTACAAAGTAAGGGACAAGTGGTTTTAACCACTAGAAAAAGCCATAACACTTAGGATGCCCATTTGGATCTTGAGGCTATCTATAATTTACTTAGCCATGCTGCTTTGATTCATTTACTGAGTAACCTTTTCACACTGCTAGTTTTGAGTGGGATACAGAGCAAGAGAAGGCTCTGCAACAGGTACAGTTCAAATCGCTCCACCACTTGAGCCATATAACTCTACAGATCCAATGGTGGTGAAGTTCCTGTGACAGATCCGAATGTTGTATGAAGTCTTGGCAGCCTCCTAAAGATAAATAACACTGCCAACCTTTTGAATTTTGTAGTAAAGCTATGTTGTCTTCTGTGTTAAATATTTTCTTTTGAGAAACAGCTTTCGGCTTGCCCACCAACTTACCATGTGACCTCAGCCTCAGCCATCCAGATTAATATTCCCCAAGTTCTTTCCATATTTGTGTAAGCTCTGTTTTCTTTATTAAGCCCAATTATACCTGTTAATACTTGCATTTGCTCTATTTTCTTGAACAAACCCAGACTGATTCAGTTAGTGACCATCTAGTGTTGGTTTATATTCAGTACCCTTGGCCCCTGTGGTAGTTGTGCCCAGTAATGTAAAACTGCAAGTGGAAAATGGATACCGTGGAAATTGTTTGGTAAAACCAGAAAATGAGACAGAGCCCCTTTCAAGCAGGTCCTGTGAAGAAGCCAGCAGGAAAACCAAGAGCAGATTAGGCAGGTAGACCAGAATACAGCAGTGGAGGGTGTTCCATAATTCAGAGTTCATCCTCTGCACACTGATACCACACTGCAAACACAAATCATTCTAGGCTTCACCTGCTGTTTGGAATGAATGCAATCCCTAACATTCTTTCCAGGTTTGTCAGGGTAGGTTCACAACCAGAGAAACTGAAACTACAGATGAAAGATATCAATGATGTGGGTTCAAAGAAACTGAAAAAGGCATGGCCTGACAATGGGGCTACAAATATACCCAGGGTTATTATAGATCAGAACTATAGCGCAAAGCTTATCACCCATAATATTAAATTAACATACTGAATTATAATCAGCTAATGCCTTAATGAAATTAGCAATCACTACATTGCTTTGCTTCACAAACAGAATATATTTCTCATCTCAAATCCATTTCTCAAGTCCACTCTATGCAATAGAATTTATATTCCTGTCACTATTTATCAAGCAACCCTGAAATTGAAATTATTTATTCAGCAAGACCTTTCTCTTATTCCATTTTATGGGTCTAATAACTTGGTTTAATTGTCAACTATAAAAGAGATAAGATTAGAGAACTTAGTAATTTGTCCTTTTTATGTTAGAAATATTTCACCATGGCCTAGATCCAAGGAGATGAGTAACTAGGGGCACAACAATTTCTTAAAGAAGGAAAAAAAGCAATTGTATAAGCATCTCCGATATTTTGGGTATAAACCCTAAGCCTTTCCAAATCTTTAAAGCCTTAGGTGAACAGGTTGCATGATTAATATTATAGCTTAGACACATATTGATCCATTTAAATCCTCAGGCTTCAACAAATTTTGTCATACTATTCATACTGTTAGTAGATTTTGAAATGAGTTGGACTGGATACTGTTCTTGTTCTGGACAATAATCACAAAACCTAAAAGAAGCAATTGGAGTTTATTTCTACTGGACTGTGCATATACAAGTGTGTTTATCAGCTGAGATTGAGCATTAAAGCACTGCACATGCACGTGTGATAGGCCTGATTACAGCAGAAGCCTCCAAGGCTCCTCCTACCTTTCTCTGCTTCTGTAGTGCCCTCACCTTGAATAGGATCTGTTGACAAGGCCCCTTCTGGACAGTTGCTGACAGGCACAAGGAGCTTATGGGTTTTGAATGGAAAGGATTTGCTAAATAAAGCTTCAATCCAAACTTCACCCCTCCCTTCCAGAGGTCAAGGCACTGAAGTTCTTGGTAGCTATGGCAATTACAAGGTGAACCAATGAATTATTGACATCTTAGGGTTTGCTACTTGACACTTATCCCCAGTTAAATGCGGTTAGAAAATTAAGTTCATGCAATTATATTTTCCAAATGAAAATACAGAGCGAGACAGCTTTTTTTAAAAAAAATAAAAATAAAAGTAGCCATATAATTGAAGATGGTACTGCCTCTGCAGTTCATTGTCAAAGATTGATTATCTCCTAATCTAAACATCAACACATTATCCTTTTGAAATTAAGTATACCAAGAGTCAAGACTCTTTTACTTCTAGGAGTTAATTCTATATAACCTAAGTTCCTCAGCTAATATGACATGTTATGTATTCAAATGTCTTTTATTTCCTTTTGATTTTTTTCCCTCGGTTCTAGCATATGATTTATTTAGTTTGTAATGGTCACTAAAAAGAAGGTAGTGGATACCAGTGAAAAACACTATTTTAGGATGACAATGGCCTTCTTTGGGCTTGACTCTTAAAAGAAATTATGTTATTTTATGATATTCTGATTATTCTCTAACTTCATCCACATCTTTGAACTAAGCTGAACCACTGACCTCTTATTTTGGCTAGTGACCTTGAAAAAGAAAAGAACTTCAGGTCTCACAGAGCTCTTTCAAAGTAAATGATCTTAAATGACTTCACTTCCGTTGTCTCTCACTCTCTAATCCACTTTTGGTACTGTCTGACTTGCACCTCCTTGGCTTTATCTCCTATTTCTAGCATTTCATTTGTTTCTTGCATATGCTTACAAGTCTCAATATTAATGATTTTTGACGTTTAGTACTTCCTGGAATGGACTGAATCATTTAGGACTCCTTTTCAAGTGACAGATAGCCAAGTTGAATTTGCTTGAGCAAAATGGAGAAGTTACTGGTTACTACTATGGACACAATGTCTGTGTCCTGTCAAAAATTCATGCTGAAACTTAATCTCCAATGTAGTAGTACTAAGAGATTGGGACTTTAGGAAGTGATTAGGCCATGAGGGCTCCTCCCTCGTGAATGAGATTAAGGCCTTTATAAAAGAGGCTCCACACAACATTCAGCCCTTTTTCCCTTGCACCGCTTTTGCCATCTGAGATATAGCATTGCCTCTGGAGGATGCAACAACAAGGCACCATCTTGGAAGCAGAGACTAGGCCCTCATCAGACACGCAACCTGCCAGAGCCTTGATCTTGGACTTCCCAGCCACCAGAACTGTGAGAAATAAATTTCTGTTGTTTATAATCTACCCAGTTTATAGCATTTTGTTATAGTAACCAAGCAGACTAAGACATGTATAATATACATACATATGTAAATGTTTATGTACATAATATAGAGATTAACATAATGAAGGTTTAGTTCTCACACATTCAAAGTCTGATGAGGACCAGGCAGCTCTCTGAAATTTGGAAGGGGAAGAAAGGTATGGAGAATATGCAGGATGTTTGTAAAGGCCAGGCCTGAAAAATTCCATTGGCCTTAATTTCGTCATATGACTCCATCCAGCTGCAAGGAAGGCTGACAAATACAGTCTTCCTGTGTATCCAGATGGAGAAAGTGGTGTGATAAGCATGTACCACTGTCTCTGACACAATTTTATTTATTTTTCTTCCTAATATTTTGGCTAGCATCCATAAAATAGTATTAAATATTAAATAACGGTGATGATAAAGAACAATTGTCTTATTTTTTATTTTTATTCTTGATAATGAAAATGTTTTCATTATGTTTCCATTTAAAAAATGGCCTATTTGGGGTCAAGATATGTATTTTCACCATCCTGGGGAAGTTTTATATCTCTTTCTTTGTTAAGATTTATTTATTTCATGAGTGATTTAAGTTGAAATTTATCAAATCTCTTTTTGGCAACTATGAAGACAATTATATGCTTCTTTTTAAAAGCTTAATATTGTAAATTATATTAGTAGACTGTTAATGTTGAATTATTTTTTCTTACTTTTAGAGTAAAGTCTAATATAATATACAATGTTCTTGAAAAGCTCTATTATGTTGGCTGTCATTTATTTCAATTTTTGTATCAATATTCATAAGTAAGATTGAGCTATATTCTATTTTTAATTATTTTTGTCATGTTTTATAATTCATAAGTTGAAGCTTTATGGAGCTTTTTCTCTTTTTCCAGTTTCTTGAGCTGTCAAAATTGCATCGGAGTGATTTGATTCTCCAAAGAGAGAAAGAATTCCACTATGCTTGGGACAGTTGCTGTTGTTGTAGGTTTATGCTTCAAGCACATAGCCACTGGGCTATCAATGTTCAATCTTGGCAGTACCCATTATATCACTGCTTATAGCTATAACATTTTTAAATGTTTAATGAGAATGTTTTTATTACTTCCATGCACTCTTTCTGGCTCTCAGTATGCTCTTTTATCACAGCAATCTGCTCTTATTTATTGCTGCTGTATCTCTGAAATTATATCAAAACTAAAAAACAGATTTTTTGAAAAATGCCTCTCAAGTTCTCCACATTTCCTCTGCCTCGGTGGGGACATTTCCTATGCTTCAGTGAGCTGTAGTTATTTTCCTTCTCTTTTGAAACTGTTGAATTTTCTCATAGATTCAGTGTTACTGCTTATCTTTATCAATGTAGGTCTAGATTAAGCAGTACTCCCAGCTGATATAAATTCCTTCAGCACTCATGTAGCTATGAACACATGGCTCTTGGGATGCTCATAGTCCAATGGGTGAAAAGCATACAAGGGCATGTCTTGTCTTTGGCATAAGTGGGCCAGCACATAGAGTCTTCCCCCCAGGGAAACAGGAGCATGACTACAGGTTCTGCTGGTTTCTCTCTGGATACAATCATATTATGGGTTCTGTTTGCCATAGAAACTTGTGTGTATATATATATAGTATACACACACACACACACACACATATATATACACATATATATACACACATATATACACACATATATATACACATATATATATACACATATATATATACACATATATATACACACATATATATACACATATATATATATACACACACACACATACATAGGCACAGTAGTCAGCATATGACAGTCCAATGTAAGTTTTGGTTTAAAAAAAATCTATCATGAGAACTCATCAACATGGCCCCCAGTGACTGGTTTGAAAAGTGAACAATGATCCAAGCCAGGTCAACCACAGTCCTTCCCTGGAAGTTTTTTGAAGGAGATCTAGCCTAGTAAATCTGTGAAGAGGTGAGCTTAGAGGATGCTAATGGTCAGGCCTGATCATGTGGAGAAAAATTAGTAAGAGAAAAGGAGATGACATGCTGGAAGAGACAGAGAGAGTTCTGAGTACTTGGTTCAGGTAACAAAATTTCCTGGATTGTCCTGGTTCTTGCTTTCCCTCAGCTGTTCAGTTCTTGCTATAATTCTATGAGCTACCTCAATAAATTCCATTTTTGCCCATGTTAGTTGAAGTTGGAGTTCTTTTATTTCAGCCAGGAATAGAGTAACTATGGGAACCCACACACACACAAATATATGTATCTCTTTTTCATCTATATCATCTCATGGAATTCCAATTTTTCAGTCTTGCCAATTTCCAGGACTTGGGCAACATATTTTTCCATCTACATTCACTGAATTACCTCAGTGGGGATAGCAAAAGGGGCAGAGTCAATTGTCATGTTAAGAGCACTACCTTGGAGATACACAAACACATACACAAATCTGGATCCATATTTTAATGCTAATTTTCTTTCCTCCTTTCTTTGTGACTCAATTCTCATTGTCTTCTTTCTCTTTCTAAAATATAAACAAATTTCCCCTTCAACCTAAAATTGGGAGATAGTGAAGAAGCTCAGCTTTTATAGTAGGAATATAATAAGATTTCATTCTGAAACACTATGTAATCAGCCATTACTACCATACAAATGTTATTTTAGAAAAAATGTTGAATGTCTAGTGACTTCAGCAATTTAGTTTTTGGTCTTGGACCAGTCATAAGTACCATATCAGAGCCTGGTATGATCTGGGTTGACATTCACATCCTGAGCTGAACTCCTGAGCAATTCTTGCACTTTGATGCAAGTCAGTTATTTACCCAATCTTTTCCATATACCATTTGACTTTCATTTCAGAATTGCAAAAAGTATTCCATGGTTTTGGAGGCTAGATATTCTCCTTTGCCCTTGCTGGCAAGCAAAAATTATACGATGAAGTGATAAAATTTGAACCACAACCTAAAGTATTGTCTTTGTTCTTGATCAAAACAATTTTTTTTTCAAAAACCTATGAGAGGCCAGGCATGGTGACCCACACCTGTAATCCCAGCACTTTGGGAGGCCGAGGCTAGTGGATCACTTGAGGTCGGGAGACCGAGACCAGCCTGGCCAACATGGTGAAACCCCTTTCTACTAAAAAAAAAAAAAAAAAATCAGGTGGACATGGTGGGGCATGACTGTAATCCCAGCTACTCAGTTGGCTGAGGCAGGAGAATAGCTTGAACCCAGGAGGTGGAGGCTGTAATGAGCCAAGATCTCACCACTGCACTACAGCCTGGGCAACAGAGTGAGACTGTCTCAAAAAAAAAAAAAAAAAAAAAAAAAAAGAAGAAGAAGAAAATAAAAAGAAAAAAACCTATGAGAAAACACCACAATTAGGATAATCTCTTTTGATTACATATTTGAGCAAATTTTATTGAAACAGAACTTCATTCATTGGATGTTCTATTGGATATGCTATTGGTAATAGCATCTTCTTTTTAAAGGATAAAATACACACAACTGATGAAGTTGCGGTGAAGTTTAGCCTTTGGGATTAGCTTTACCACCTTGAAATACACATCCCTTTCTGACAATATCTACAAACTTCTGCTTTTCCTATAAATAGTCATTGACCAAAAGAATCTTTCCATTGACTTGCTGTCTCTAGATAGTTGCTGCAAGTCTAAAAAAACTTGAAGTGTACCCATACCAAACCTATCTGAGAGGATTGCTCTAACACACTGTAAAACTTACATTGGGAGGAAGAAGGCAGGCAGCCTGGGTTTCTCCACCTTTCCCTTACATCCTAACAATGGCCCCCACTCCTGCACCTCAGTGCTTGCACTCACCTCCAGATTTTACATGATACTTTTTTCTTACTTACAACTCCCTATATTCTTTAGAACTACCACTTCAAGCCCATTCCAATTAAGTTCTGAACTCTGAAATTTCACCTCTGTAAAAAAAAAAAAAAAGTCTTTCCTAATTAACCTCATTAGATTTTGATTTCCTACTTAGCAGCCTTTCAGAAATCTCCAACATGTTACATCTTTGGATGCATCACCTGGTCTTTCACTAACTTGTTCTCTGTGCATTTGGTACAACTCCCAGTTGGCTGCAAACTTCTTTGATGCATCTGCCAGCCCTTTGGTAGTAATAATACTAATACTAAAAAGCTAACATGCAGGTCTTATTATGCTCCAGACAAAATGCTAAGTAATTTACTAGCAGAGTATTTGAATACTGTCTGGCACATAGTAAGCCATTAATACAGGTTTGTTATTATTACCATTTATAGCTCAATTAACTTGGCATTATTATTCTCTCCATTTCAGGATAAGAAAACTGTGAGGCACAGAGAATTACATAAATTGCTCAGAGTCACAGAGCTCATTATGTGGCACAAACAAAACTTGGTGCCCATCTATTTGACACGAATACCCATCAATGTTCTTAATCATTACAAAACATTTGCTAAACACACACACACATGCACACACACACACACAAATCAATCCTTTTTGCAATAATACCCCTCCAGTTTTCAGAGCAGTGTAAGTTGTACTCAAGGCAGGTTTTACTTAGGAATTCATTCCCCTTTTAAAATTTAACTGTCTTAGAGACATAAGAAAAAAGTCACAAGTATTTGTATCTCCCTGAAGAATTTCATTTTAAAATTTAGAGGCCACTGAAGTATGTGTCCTTAGGGAGAACAATGGGTTTTTCAAAACTTCTAAATTGCTAAGGAGCTGTGTTTTGCTTTTCAACTATTAATATGCTACTTCAGTCAGTCACCAGTACGTCATATTTGCTTTGGTAGAAAGAGCTAGGCCATGTCCAGGGCTGAGCAATAGAAAAAGTTCATGAGTATATTGCTAATAGAAATGATTAATAATACATTACAGGCTCAACCCTGATCATACCATGCATCTTCTTCCAGTTATTTTGAGTACATTTTCATTGGATGCTCACAATTGCTCTCTATTGTAACAGCTTTTCTCCTGGTCATACTGTGAGATTATACAGGGAGAAATGCCCACTTCTGATGTTGTTTTTCCTGAGTTCTAAAGAAGGCGTTCCCTTTCCTCCCATCTCCTTTCCTTTTTCTCTGCCTTCTCTCTCTCATAGGCTGCCCTGCCCTTTTCTTCCTTCGCTGTCTGAGCTTTCTTGAAGGGAACCAAGGGTCGTAGATCCCCCAGGGCTGGGCCCTTCTGAAAGGCTCCATGGTCTCTGGAGAGCAGTCAGGTGACAGACTGAACCCAACCGGGCCCAGTGACACAACTTCCCACTTAGGCAACTACACAGCCCCCAGATCCCATTCCTGGCAGCTTCAAAACCCTGGGCTCCGCCACAACCAGGCACAACTGCCTCCCTCCAGGTTTCCACTTGGGTGAATGAATAGGCTTGAAGGCGACTCCAGATGCAGGAGGCGCGTCGCGGAGAAACGTGTCATTTAGGAGAAAGTTTGTTTCCTACAGAGACTGCAGTTGGCAGCTGCAGCCCCAGTCGGTTGCGAGAAAAGCTCCCCACCTGGGGAAGCGAGGCCGCTCCCGTGTGCGCTCGGCGGGGAGGACGCGGTGGCGGCGGGACTCGAACTCGGTCGTCGAAGGGCGCCCCGCAGGGTCCCGTCTGTAGCCCGGACGGCGAGCCCAGGTTGGAGTGGGAGGGAGCCGGCGTGCACAGCTGTCTTTGGTCGGGCTCAGGCTTCCGCTCCCTGCCTGCTCCCCTTTCCAGCCTCCCGCCCCAGAAACGATCTCGAGCGTTGCCAGTTTGATTCCAGAGCCCCACTCGGGTGGGTTCTTTTGTTTCTTTGTTTTAATGACAGTTCCCAGCCCTTCAGCATGTCATGCGCAATTAATTCCCTGGCTCTCACGAAGGCAGCTGGGGTGAAATTTCTTCTGCATCATCCTTTTGGGGATGTTTATGATGTGACGTCAGTCGGATTGATTTTTCTCTCTTGAATGAAGGATGGGAGGGGAGAAAGAGAGACGGAGAGAGAGAGAGACGCACAGATGTGCACGGAGGCCACAGACACTGACATTTGGAATTCCTTCAGGGTAAAAGGACACCGGAATGGGAGCTTAGAAGTGTGTTGCTAAGATTTCCGGCTGCACGGAATTATTAAGTTTTTCTTAAAAAAACAAAAAAAGAAAGAAAGAAAGAAAAAGAAAAGAACCCCCTCCGCAGCGAGCCACTTAGGTGCTGCTTTCACGCCAGAGTCCCCTGTTAAGGTGGCAGCCCTTGATAACTAATCTCGGGCACCCAGCCGCTTCTGTAAGCTTAAGGAGACGACGAGGAGGGGCGGGGGAAGTGCGTCACCAGGTGGGGAAGGGGCTGTGTATTTGGTGACAAGCGGGAGGCGATGGGGGTGGAGGGGAATGGGGACGGGAAATAGGTTCTGTGTGCTCTCCGGGGGTATTGTGTCAGGAGATGCAGGCTGGCTACCATGTGACGCGGTCCAAAGCTGAAGGGATTGGCCGAGGCAGCGCAGGCGGTGCAGCTCGGCCAGCTTGCCGTTCCTCTCCCTTTCTCTCAGCATCTTCTTGGTAGCCTGCCTGTAGGTGAAGAAGCACCAGCAGCATCCATGGCCTGTCTTTTGGCTTAACACTTATCTCCTTTGGCTTTGACAGCGGACGGAATAGACCTCAGCAGCGGCGTGGTGAGGACTTAGCTGGGACCTGGAATCGTATCCTCCTGTGTTTTTTCAGACTCCTTGGAAATTAAGGAATGCAATTCTGCCACCATGATGGAAGGTAGGATGCTTTCTGCTATGGTTGACTGGCTTCAGGCAAGGTTTGGGCAGAACAGCATTAAAGAATATGTGCAGCCAGTGTATGTGGCGGTTCTAGAACCTGGTTGCCAATGTTTTGCAAGCAGAAATGCTGCAGTTTGCTTGCAGTGGATCTGGGCTCAGACTAATGGAATCAAACCACAGGGCTGCTGCCTAGCTCAGAACCTACAGAGCTCCCAGCTCCTTTGAGAGAGAAAAGCCTAAAGTGTTTGCAGGGAGCTGAGATGGAGCTAGGAAAGAGCTTGCAGAGCAAATAAGTTGGGCGAGAAGATAAGGTTTTCTGTTCTGGGTTCCTGGGACTACACTGATTAAACATTTACAATGGAAACTTGTTTTCTGAAATTGACATTAGACAGGAGAGGTCATTAACAGAGTTATCCATACAGACATTTTCAGTGAACTGTTTAAAATTGTAAAAATTCTCATAAGGTATTTTTATCTCTGCAGTTTACATCATATTATTGGGATGGGGAGGGCAGCAAATTTGGTCCATAAACTGTAGTTGTATGAGAATGTCATTGCAACAGAATGAAAAATATAAGGAAAATATCCGGGCCTCTTGCCTCCTGATTCGGGGTCTTATCAGGTTAAAAAAGAATTTTGTGCTCCCTAAATGCTTTCCCTGTCCAATGGATTTTAGCCAAGTATCAAATGATTATTTGCTGATGATCTTTTCGCATATTCAATATTGAGTGTAAGGAGGAACTTTCCCTGGAGAGATGCTATTTAAACTATATTTTATTCTGCTAAATTACCCTTCCCAGTCTGACACTGTGACAGCCAAGATTGTCTCCAAAAAGCAGCAAGCTGATCAGGAAAGAAGCAAGCAGCTCTATGCAGGCTTTGATTTTCTGTTTTCACACTATAGGATGGTGCAAAACTCCTGGCCTTTCCTAAGATGACAGGCAGAAATTTGTCCCCAGCCTGGATTTCACAATGCAGAATTGAGTGCATAATGGGTCTCAAATCAGCCATGAAAATGGCAGAGAGGCCACCTCTTAAGCCAAGGTTTGTCCTACGGATTTTAACTATTCCTTAGAAATTTACCAAAATGGAATAAGAGGAGGAAGGTTTCATAAAAACAGCAGTGTAGCCTGTACTTATTTGGCAGAAATGAATTCTTTTTGCTCTCCCTGTCATCATGTCAAACATTGTTAATGTGATTTGGGGGAGTGAAGAATTCTAGAGTCAAAACCCACAGATTTTAGAAGATAGCCTTAAAAGAGAGGTTGGGTATGATTTTGTTATGGAGCTGAGTCTTGTTTGCAAAAGGCTCTCAAGCTAGCCCTTTAAATCCAGGCCTAAATAAATTGAGATTGCTAACACTCTCAGATTAAATCATTTTCATTAATTCAAAATTGATTTAATCTTTGAATAACAAGGCAAGACAGAGTGTTATTTATGCACTTTTCAATTAAAAGCTCATGTGGATTATCTTCTTCAGAAAAAATATCTTGCCTGTAGAGGTACTGTATTTCTCCAGCTCAACTTCATATAGCTTTCTTAAAAATGCATCTGCACACATTCTGATTAGATTTCAGTGTTGCATAGAGAATTGGATGCTCTTTCTTTTCACTTCTTGCCTTGCAAACCATGGCACTAAAGTATCTTCTTTGAAGGTTGTAACGTTTTTTGATGCTCATGAATGATTCTCCTGGTAATATGGTCTATTGTGCCATCCAAGAATGTCAGTTCAAAGCTCTGTGATAAGCTTATCCAGGCTGCCTAAACCAAAATGAGAACTGCAACAAAGACTTGTGCTGGAGCTGAATTAGCACTATTGCTCTGGGTTTGCCAAATTTATCTAATGAACAATGTTATCTTAGCACTGGTATGAATTAGTATGAATTATACTATGGATACAGTTGTCTTTCACCAGATCTTTTGCAAGAGAAATTGGACAGGTGTTCCCACTGGCTTAAATAGCTAAATGAAATTAACATTTATTTCTACCCATAGCTCCTACTTAAATGTTTTTAAGCCTTATTATCTTAATAGTTCGGTGACCTTAGAAAGGCAAATAGGAGTTTAACCAAAAATCAATTTGCTATCAGTTGCCTTCCAACTTAGTTGACAGTCTTTTTGGCAATATACATTCATGTTTCTGGTATTGCATGGCAGAATTTCACCTCTGAATTGCTCTTATTCTGAAGGTGTGGTATATAATTATTATTTCAACTTAACTCATCTCTAGAGATTGCCAGCCTCTGTACATCTACCACAATAACCTTGGAAAGATAAGGAACCTCATAAAAGGCACCCCAAATTTGTCATGGCAGCTCTTCGTTGAAACATTAGTGGACTCTGAGAATGTGCTACCAAACATCTAGTTAAAATCATATTTCTTCTGAACTAGTGTGTCTCACACACACACAGAGTCATCCACCCAAACACATTTCTGGAAAGGAAGAAAACATATATTTGCACTCGTGTGGCTGTACATTTCTATATTGCTAAAGTGTTTTAGTCTGCTGCTCAGAAAAAGCATGGCCATGGCAACTTTTCAAAGGCACTTCTCTACTTTGTGTAAAGCAAGAGTAAACAAATATTCAGCAGAATGGGTCATAGTAAACTACGTTTTGTTTGTGTGGAACAGGATATAGGCTCCATTCATTCAATGCCTATTGGAAATCCATCCAATCATAGATGATAAATGTTACTACCTCCTCAGTGATCCTAATTTTGTGGAAGTCAACGAAATAATTCCCCAGGGACCACAAGCAGGTGATTAGTGGTTTGTGGCTCCATGGTTCTTTTAACATATTTTAATTAAAAAACATATTTTAGGGGACTTGATTTGCTGCTTCCTGCATACTTTATCTTTTGGCAGTGGTTGGCATTGAGTTGTTTCTTTTCTAAAGAAAGCCACATGATCTGGAGCCTTCTGTAGTATAAATATGAAAGGAAAGATGATGAGCAAAGGGAATTATTAACTATGGAGTGTACATATTGGCTAAGCTTACAATGAAGTCTATGTGGTTAGGGCAACTATTCAAGGACTATTTTTTGATATATTATTATTAAAGTTTGAAAATGGCATTCTTTAGCTATCCTTTCTAAGATAACTGGAACTAAGTCAGAGTTTCTTGGGCTATCTGTCTATTTGTGAGGGTGTCTAGAAAGTACTTTCCTTGTTCACGTAGGCCCAACTGAAGGCGTTTTGCGTTTTTAGTTCCATATTCAGGCTCTTAGGTGCTATACTAGAAAGATAAGTTTCTGGGTGCCAATGGTTTCATTTTATATGACAATTTAAAAAATTAACAAGCAAATATTTTTAAGGGCTTACTGGGTTTAATTACAATATTCAGGATAATTTAATATATTTTATTATATTTACTACTCATAATAACCTGAAACTAAGTATATTGTATATACGGTGCTTTTTTCAGTCCTTTTCTACCTTTCAAAAGTAAAAATAATGCATTGAGGCAAAAAAATGGTGGAGTGAAATTTGAACCTACATCCATTTAACCACAAAGCTCATGTTTTTGACCCTCTAGGAACCTCTTAGTTTTGCTTTGCATCAGGTTGGGCATGTTAACCTAATTGAAAAATAGGCTGTAGTGCCTTTGGTTGCATATTCTGTGTCTCTCTGTTTTAAATATGAATATTGACAGAACTATACTCTTTAACTTCTTATTAATGCCTTTTATGTCCAAAATCATTATTTAAAAAATTTTGCATAATTGAAGAGTAACTAAACTTCTGTTGTTGCAATAAACCTTATAAACACTAAGAACTTCTTCTTTTCCTATCTAGAAACAGAGTTTTACTAAAATAACATTTGGAAAATTCTTTGGTTTGGTCAGAAAAGAGCAAGACATCTTGAAGCTGGAGCTGTTCATTTTGTATTTAGTTAAGAAGTTTTAAAGGGAATGCTTCTAATTTTCCTACTGATTCTCTTCTTTAAATGATGAAATTACTTTAGAAAATCTAAACATGCAGATAGAAGATTCCAATATATGTTCCATCACCTGTGTAATTTCTCATCTTCTCCAGTGTTCTGTATCATAAAGAACCTCTTTAGATATATATGTTCCCATCCAAATGTCAGGGGTCATCTTTATACTTCTAAAAAGAATATGGAGTCTTTAAAAAATTAAATTAGATAAACCATACTAGAAGACTCTGGATCATTCTTTCTGTTGGATGTAGCACATACACTATCCATGTTTCAAATAAACAAGGTACAGGAAGTTACCAACTCACAATTTTTATGTTCCTGAAAGTTTGTTTGTGAGCTGGTTACTTGGAACATGTTTTCCCATAGGAATAATGATACAAATAATAGAGTCTCACACAAGTCCATCAAAGGCTATTAACCCAATATCTAGCTAACATGCAAATATTTGCCATAAAATGTGTAAAGAACAGTATGGTTCCCATAGTAATCAAATAGAAGAAAATTATGGCATTAAATGTGTTTTTAATTTTGGATGTTGCTGTTTGAAGGAAAGAAGCTTTAATTGGAGGACAATGAAGAGCTGGAGAAAAAATTAGAAGGTATTTTCAGAATACCATCAAATACTTTAGGTATTTTCAGAAGTTTTAGATACTCATGACACTGGATTTTTCAATTATGTTCAATTTTACCCTCATACTTGTGGCTTATCTTTTCTCAATTCAATTTTATCATACAAACTGCTTTTAAATTATGAGTAAAGTCATGATGTAAACTCACAGACTGAATTAAAAGTGGGAGAGAGAATTTGCTGAGATAATTCTAAAGGAGTTGGAAGAGAGAAAAATGATAAGGGATTATTATGAATTTGGGCTCATGTGTCTGAGTAAGTCCCATTTGGAGAAATTAACTGAATAAGAAAGAGGTCATAGGTAGAACAGAATTGAGGAGCATAGTAAAAGCAGGAAAAAGTACGGTGTGAGGCAGAGGTATTGGGTCTCACAGGTTTGTGTGCTAACTACCAAATGTAGGTGTGGGCACATAATGGCAAGCTTTCCATGGGAGAGAGACTGGGGAAGTGTATTTAGACTTGGGAAGCGATGGGCCTCTATTCTTGGAACTTGTATGTTGGTTAACTACATCTGCAGGATATTAGAAAGATCTGATATTAGAAAGATATTAGGCATCTAGAATTAAATACTTCACATGGCATGACTTCCTTGTTTAAGAAAACTTCTATATCTTCCCATTTCTCTTAAAATCCATAGGCTACAAGACCCTGCATGCTCTGGCCTGCTGTGCCTTTTCAGGCTCATCAAATACTTCACTCACACTGAAAGCCACACTGCCTGCCTCCTCATGTTTAGAATAAACACTTTCATGCCTCAGGGCTTTTTCTTTGCCTAAAACACTCCTTTTGCAGGTCATGGAGTTACCAATTCTCTTGTGGTCCCAGCAAAACTGTCACCTCCTCAGGCAGCCTTTGCTATCATCCTTGTCATCTCAAACATATATCCTGGGCTACTGAGTCCATCTCAGCCCGCTCTCTCTCCTCAGAGCTGTGTTTATGGCTTGTGGTTGCTTTCAGTGCATGGGCTGAATCTCTCACTCAAATGTAAGCTCCACGAAGGCAGAAATCTGGTCTACCATTTTCATCTCTGTATCCTTAGCTCTTGGCACACTATAAATACTTAACATGTTTATTAATTGAATAAGTGAACAAAACTAGATATAAATGGCTCAGATAACTGTATACTATTCATTATTAGGTATTATTTTGGGCATTATGATGGACGTAAGAAAAAAATGCTCAAATATGTATTCTCACTGGAGAAATAAAATCAATAAACATGAAACAATTAGGAAATAAGACAATATTCTGCAGTGATAAATTGTGAGAAATAGATAATATATATTGAGATGCAAAAAAAAAAGAAATAGTTCATTTGAAAATATGTACTTGAGCTTGAATTGTTTTGGTGATGAGCTCCTAGGAAATGATTTCATAATGAAAAGAGGCACATTGTAGCACCACCATTCAAAGAATTCCCAGAGTCAGTTTTGTCAGTATGCTGGATGCTTTTTTTCTTTTCTCTCTTCCTTTGCCTTCCTTGCATTTCTGCCTTTCCTTTCTCTACTTTTCTCATTCTTCCATCCCACCTTTCCCTTCCTGGGTTCTCATTCCTTTTCTCTGGTTTATGACCAAGCCTGAAAATGGTGGCTTATAAAGCCAGCAGGTTCGACTTGGAATGTGGGAAAGTATTTTTAAATAAATGAGTGAATGTAAACGAGTGTAATGTTGTTCGGTGTATTTGTGTGTACAGTGGCAATGTCATGGAATATGAGATTTTTCAGATGCAAATTACTCCTGATTGAAGAATTTGTTAATCTTAGGAGCTCAATGTGTTAGCTGATTTTATGCAGTTGGGCTTTTTGGTTGAAAGAACATGAACCCAGAAGTCAGACTTGAGTTTGAGTCTAAGTGTTGTGACTGCCTGGCTGTATGCCATGAGAAAGTTACTTTACATTCCTGGGCTCTGTTTCCTTGCAAACAAAATGAGATAATTGATGTGCCATACCTCTAGAACTTCCAGCTCTAACAGTCTCTGGCATTTTCTGAATGATTAGGATTCCTCACATCTACTCCCTCCAAGGTTTGAATTCTAATGACTGACTCCTTTTCCTCTCACCTCAGAATATATTCATCCCTGACACACAAATAATTCAAATGCATTACTATCTACCTTTTATTAGTTTAATTTTTCTCTATGTTGTTTATTCTGCATCCACAATTTACTTTTGCCTCTTTGCTGTACTGGAACACAAAAAGTGCATTTATGGCAACCCTCTTCTGCAACTCCTAGTCTGGAACTGTTTATTTATTCATCAAATATTCTGTATCGAATGCACACTAGGCATTATTCTAAGTGCTATAAGCTCAGTAGTGAACAAAACAGATTAAAATGTCTGCCCATGTGGGCATCCTTTTGCAGAAGTCAGTCAGCATGAGTTTATGTGATCCATGGATCAAGTGACAGGTGAGCATTCAGAAGTCTAGCATTCAGATACCCGTTCTGTGAATGTCTTGTGACAGTGCCCCTTGGGCTCATTCTTCTCACACATTTAATAAGTGAATGAGTGTCATGTCCTTGTCTTAGCTCACCATTCCAAGCCCAAAGTTACAGCTGAGAGCTCAGCAACAACTCTAGGCTTGAACATTTTCACAGAAAAGATGTAAATGCCATGAAAGTGTCATTCCAGGATCAAAATTACACATCTACTCACATGTTTTTTGGTGTATACCAAAAACTTTCATTTTTATTTTTGGTTCATATCCACTTCTGTTATGTGTCAGGACTAGTGGTTTAGGATTTTTGAAAGCTTGTGTGGAGTTACCTGTGTTTCTTCTCTTTAACAAACAATTTAAGGAGGAAAATACTGAGCTCATTTAGGGCATTGTCAAAGATTATGTGACATTTGCACATGCTTAAAAGTTTTAAAAATGCTTTATTCATCTAACAGATACACCTGGAGTGTTTCTGATATCTCAGTTGCTGTACTAGGCACAATGAAATGGCAGCAAAACACAAGGCAACAATGTCCCCCTTCTTCAGAAGCATGGAGTCTAGTATATGATACCACATTAGCATGTACATATTTTATTCGTGCAATGTCTCTGTGTGGTAGAAAGAATAAGTACGGTAATCCTCCCTTATCTGCAGAGGATATGTTCCAAGATCCCCAGCGGATGCCTGAAACTACAGATATTACCAAACCCTATATGCACTATGCTTTTTCCTATACATATATATGAGATAAAGATGATTTATATATATAATTATATATATACCTTCATAGATATCAATCAGTAGGTATCAGTTTTACCTATGATCATTTTACCTTTATCACAGGTAAAATTAAATTTACCTATGGTAAAGTTAATTTGTAAATAAGGCACAGTAGGAGATTGGCGACAATAACGAATAATAAAATTTAGAACAGTTATAACAATCTGCTGTAATAAAAGTTATGTGAATGCGGTGTCTGTCTCAAAATATTTTGTTATACAGTATGCACCTCTCTTCTGATGATGTGAGATGTTACAGTGCCTACATGATGAGATGAAGTGGAGTGAATGACGTATGCATTGTGACACAGCGTTAGGCTGCCATTGACCTTGAACACAGGCACTGCGATATGCAACAATATGATGACTGAGACGACTACTAAGTGACTAAGAGCAGGTAGTGTAGACAGCGTGGATACACTGGACAAAGGACTGATTCGTGTCCCAGACAGGATGGAGTAGGATGGCACGAGATTTCATTACACTACTCAAAATGGTGTGCAATTTAAAACTTATGAATTGGTTATTTCTATAATTTTTCATTTAATATTTTCAGATCACTGTTGACTGTGGGTAACTGAACCCACAGAAAATGAAACCTTGGATAAGGAGGGACTTTTGTGTTACTATCCTTATTTTAAACAGAAGGAAACTAGGGCCCACTAAGGTTAAGTGACACTCAAGGTGACCTCCTTACTAGTGGCAGAACCAGCACTTATCAGCCAGGCTTGACTCCTAGTTAAGTGCTGTTTATTTGTATAACGGCGTAACTGGAAAATCTTGCTCATATCCAAAGTGTTTGGCCTAGGTCTCTGACTGGCAAGTAAACAGCAGATTGTTTAAATCTGACTGGATGTTTCAAAAGCCTTCTTCAGAACTAAGCAAGTTAATTTTATTATCAGGTCATGATCTTTCAGAACAGTCATCAACTTGAAGAAGGCCACCTCACACAGAAGGATTTTATCCCAGTGGGCTCTTTTCAGTAGCTCAGTAGAAAATTTCCACAATTTTCTGAGGAAGAGCGTCATGATGTGATGTCACTAGTCCAGTGGACTCTAAACTTTCACAGCTTACCTTCTACCACACGTTTTATCAAAAAGCCTGGTTCCCACCACGAACAAAAGCCCTTTTTTTTCCCTGAGGAGGACAGCTCGGTGTTCACTGATATTTTATGAAAGCTGTGGCTGTTATCATGAAAACATGATAATGTGTGCCATCATTTGAAGATTAACCAAATGGGTTCAACCTCATTTTAGAGTTGCAGAAACCAAGGCCAAATGAAAAGACTTACCTAAGGATTTTTATTCTCTCTGTAAGAGGACAAGTCAAAGTTTATTTTAGTAATGATTCCAAAACTGTGAATAGACAAAGACTTGGAGCCCATGGTGTTTTTCACGTTCAAAGGTGCTGAGGCTGGCTGGGTGACTGCCAAGAGACACAAATGAATGTGTCCCCAGGGTCATTGTTCTACTGAGTACACATACAATGTGACCATTTATAGCTCTCTCCCCTGATTTTCTCAGTGAGTCAGTACAGTGTGGGGGGAAGGGCCAGGACTTGAAGAGGGACTATACCGCCTCTGTGACTGGGTGACCTTGAGTGAGTTCTGGAACGGTTGGCCTCAGCTTCCCCATTTGTAAGGGGAGAATAATGCTGGCTACCTACCTCGTAGAGTCATTATGAAGAGCAAATGAAATAATAAATATACATCTGAGAGAGTGTGGTGCAGATGCCAGTTTTTTTCTCAGACAGTTTTTTCTCAACCTATATACCCATGGTAAAGTTTAATTTATAAATTAGGCACAGTAAGAGATTGGCAATAATAACTAATAATAAAATAGAACAGTTTCCATTGTTCTATTGGGTGTTACTTGTGGATTTCTTAGCCTTTGGAGGCTAGACATTACTGCTTGCTCTTTTGCTTTTTCTGTAGATTATTGCTGTACCTCTCCTGAAGACAGGCCTTACAGATTTCTTTCTCCTCTTCACCATACTATTAAGTTACAAGCATACTCTATCATCCTTTATTCTCAATGTCCATGTGCTAGGCCACCCCTTTCTTGAACATGTATGGCATCACTAATCAATCACAGCCATCTTTCTCCCTAGCTTTAGTATCTATCTCAACATCATATTCCAGGAAATTCCTGTGAATTGATTGGAATTGGCACATGAGATGATATTACCTTGCATTCCTTACCACAAGCAGTTTCCCAAAGTTGAAATACAGGGAATAAAACCAGAATACAGGCCGGGAGAGGTGGCTCATACCTGTAATTCCAGCCCTTAGGGAGGCCGAGGTAGGTGGATCACTTGAAGCCAGGAGTTAATAGACCAGGCTGGCCAACATGGCGAGACCCTGCCTCTACTAAAATTACAAAAAAATTAGCTGGGCATGGTGGTGCGCACCTGTACTCCCAGCTAATCATGAGGCTGAGGCGGGAGAATCACTTGAACCTTGGAAGCGGAGGCTGCAGTGAGCTATGATCACATCACTGCACTCCAGCCTGGGCCACAGAGGGAGACTCTGTCTCAAAAACAAACATACATATAAAAAACCACTAGAATATAGGTGATCTACCTGTGCACCCACCTTTACAAATGCCCTTAGTGAATCACCAAAAATGACATGTCAAAAATTTCTCACAGCAGCAGTTCTGGTAACAATGGCCTGAAATGGTCTCTAAGCCCGATTGTAGGTAGAACCTTACTCCTGTGCTATTGACTGTAACCATTAAATTTCTCTTAGCCTTCTTGTGCACTAATTTGAAGAACTATGTCTACCAGGTAGCCAAGCTAGAGTCACTGCTTGGATTAATTCCTAATTCCTCCTTCCTTCCTGTCCTACATCAGTAGGTCCTTAAGAGCTGTAGATTGTCTTTCCTAAATAGCTCTTGACTCTGTTCTCTCTCTTTCATCCCCTGCTAACACATCTGATCAGACCTTGCTGCTTCCACCTTCCAATGAATCCTCCTCACAGCCACAAAAGACATCAATTTCCTCATCTGCCTTTGATTGTTTACCATGCTTCTAAGATGAAGTCCAAATGCCTTAGTGTGCTGTGCAAAGCTTTCACACACAGGCTGCCTTCAGCCTCATCTCTCACTGGCCCAGCCAGACAGAGCTCCTTGCCATTCTCTTGCCCTTGGACTTGCCATTCCATTCCTTCTCTATATGGAAACAGTCTGTTCTGACTTTTCAAGTGGACTAACGAAAGACTGTCTGCCTTCAGTGAAGCCTTCACATATGCAGCAGGTTGAGAATGAGAGCACTAGCTTTGGAGTCAGGCTGATCCAGCTTAAACCTGTGTGTGTGACTCTAGGGAGCTAGTGAACATGTTTCCTCCTCAGGAAAGTGGATGTGACGATAACAGTCTTTCTCATGGGTAATTTAAACATGTAAGTTTGAAAAAATTAAATCAGAAAGTGCACTTGTAGCACTTGGAGTTCTCCAGAGAGACAGAACTGAACAAATTGTGTGTGTGTGTGTGTGTGTGTGTGTGTGTGTGTGTGTGTATACATACAGAGAGAAAGAGAGAGAGGAATTTTTAAGTAAGGAATTGGCTCACATGATTGTGGGGACTGGCATGGCAGGTCCAAAATTTGTAGCACAGGCTGGCAGGCCAGTAACTCAGGCAGGCGTTGATGGTGAAGTCTTAAGATAAAATGTTAAGCTCCCAATAAATCTTAATTACTATTCTCTTTTAGGCATAGCACATTCTTATACCTGCTTTGTTCCTTGCTCAAAAACCAAGGACTATGCCACAGTAGAGACCATATTTTACTCACTTTAGGATTCCCAATGTGTGCATGTGTGTAAATGCTCAATAAATACCCAGTTTTAATAAATGAATCCTGTGTAAGGATCACAAACTTTTGGTGAAAGAGTCAAGCCACCCAGCATATGGTTATTATGAGAATTAAATGAGTTAAAATATGCAAAACATTTAGAAGAGTATTTGGTCCATAGTAGAAGCTTATTAAATGTCATGTGCACATCAGAGGTCCCAGTAAAGTTCCTGGATGCCAGGCAATACCCTGGATCATGCTTCCTCTGCTCTTCCCAAAGCACCCATCTGCCACGTAGGATCACACTGGCTGAGAGCCACATTCTGGTTCCAGGAGTGTGCAGTTAATATAGTATCTCACATATGTCTGCCTGACTCCTTTAATCATTTCCTCTGATTTTAAGAGGACAGGTTTCATTGCAGAAAACTTGCAAAATAAGAAGATACATAGAAGAAAATTAAATTCCCAAATAATCTCATTGTTAAGAAAGAACCAACCACTACTACAGTTTGTTGAGTGCAGAACATGAGCTTTGGAGACAGACAACCTGAAGTTCCTTAACCCTTGGTGATCTCATCAGCATCATAATTTATTTTACTATTCCTCTGTCGTCAAATATTTAGGCTTCATTTATATATTGAGCAAGAATTGCTTAGATTAAGGAGTCTTGTGGTACGGTATGACTTCTTGGCTCCTATTTAGTAAGTTACCCTGATGAGGTGGTGAGAATTCTGCGTTGGATTCTAGTCCTGGCATTGCCCCAGGCAGTTGAGTGACTTTAAATAAGGCTTTAACATTGGGGAAAGAAAGCAAGGTAGTGAAGAGAAATTGATTTTAATTAGAAAAATTCTAATATCTCCTGGCACCTTTCTTTATTAGTTATGAGGATAAGACCAAGAATTTGCTAGGTGGGTAAGAACAGATTTGGAGTGTCCTTTCTGCAAGTCCCGACTGTGTCTGTTCGGTGAAGTCATCACCTCTCTATTTTCCCATCTGTAGACTGGTAAATTATATGAGTGTTCCTGACTTTCTTACTGGGTTGAATATTGAAGTATTAAAATATATGTGAAAATATTTTGAAAGCTGTAAAATTTTTATGTAAATATAATGTAGTATTACAGCATTATTAGTTTCAGTATCTTGGAAATTCTGGTTTCAATTGAAGAGTTGGGTTAGATATTTTGAAGGCACCAACTCATTTTAAAACTCTATGATGAATCCCTGCTACAGGCAACCCCTTTCCACATATCCTCAAATTTCCATGTCTACAAATGATTTTTTTTTCATTTTTGGATACCAGAAGATAAGCACCTTTCCAAATTTAGTGATTTATTTCAATGGGGATGGATATATGGAATTTTGTTAAACTGAATAAAAATATTGTTAGCAACAATGGATACATAGTGGGACAATTTAAAATGCAGTTTAAAGTGTGTTCAACTGAAATCTATCTTGGCCTAGTTACAAACCCAAATATAGTTCTGTATACAATTTCAGCAAAGTCTAATCCTCTTTATCCAAATGCCAGATCAAACGATTTCATCTGGATTTCTTCTCTTGAGTTTCCTGCTATCTTCTGTCTTCATGGCAACCCAGTTCAAGTTGGCACAATGAAGAACAGAGCTCGTCGCACTCTTGATCAAATTTTAACTAAGACACATAGGAAGTGTTGTAGTGACAGTGCAAGGCGATGAGCTAGCCAGGGGTCTAGGTGTGAGACACAGGCGAGCAAGACACATAGAGATCTTGCTGTCATGGAGCCTGAGTTCAAGTATGAGGACACAAGATTAACAAACCAAATGAATGAACAAGATCATCTCAGATTACGGTAAAATCAGTGAAAGAGGCAAAATGGAATCGTGGTGGAGAATGGGAGGGGTGGCGGTGAAGGCTACTTTAAGTGGTAATGGAAGGTTTTTCTGAGAAGGGGCACTTGAACTGAGACCCCTATACCTTGTGACCCATGAAGCTCTGGAACAGCATTTCAGGAGTGAAAACAGTAGGGTGAAGTGCCTGGGCCTTGGTGAACTCAAGGACAAGAGGGAAGCCAGCATGGCCAGAGACCAGTGAGGAAGGGAACAGAGGCAGGAGAGAAGAACAGGAGATTCACATCAGGCAGGGCTTTATGAGCAATGGAGGTGGATCTGGAATGGATTCTGAAGCAATGGAAAGCCACCGGAGAGGGTGAAGGAGAAGGTCATGCTTTTGCTTGCATCTTTAGACAATTACTTGGGTTGTCGGATGGACTTTAGTAGCTACAGATGGCATTCTAGCTTTTTTTATTTTTTATTTTATTTTTTTGAGGAGGAGGAGGGATTGTCTTGAATCTGTGTTTGAGTAATAAATATTCTGATTTTATTTAAATTTTATGTTTATTTGTGGGAAAGCTGATGGAGATTGGAAGGGATGGTGGTGCCCTCCCCCAAGCCACTCATTGGCACCATCACTATTGAGGTCGGTAGGCTCAAAGTGAAGGTTTAATTTAGCTATTGAATAAACCCTTTCTAACCCAAACGGTTCTGGCATTAGGCTTTTTCAGAGACATGCTGACAGCTGAAAAAAATGAAGATATTAGAGATCCAAGGGTATCATGCACTTTTTTTATGTACTTATTTTTAAATGGCTTTGAAGCACTTCAATTATTTGATAGCCGTTCTGATACTGAATCAGTTTGTTTATTAGGGGGGCTTTTATCATTTCGTCACTGAGGCTTTTTCTCTCTAGGCCAGATCAGAAAGATAGAAATACTTAAGAGATCTTACTGTTGACAGAGGTTGACCTCTCCATGTTTCATTTTTCTCTCCAAATGTTTCCATTAAAAGATTTTGTGTCCTCTCTGAATGTCATCTACTGAGATACCTACTGTTCACCTTAACTAGATTCACCTGTGCACTTCTCCAATTCATAGCCCTCTCTTCCTACCTGCAGGTGCCAAAACTTACTATGCCCTAAATTGCATTTTTACCCAAGATGAAAATATATGCAAGGCTTCCTGTAGGTGGGAATTGTTCCTGGTCTAGTTTCCTTTGGGACAGGAACAGGCCTCTAGTTTTCTTTTATAATTTCTTATGTAATATAGCAGCTAAATGCACAGGCTTGAAAGTTAAAAAACACTTGGGTTCAGATCCTAACTCTGAGACTTGCTGGCTGTGCCCCCCTGGGCAAGCCTGAGCTTAAGCTCCTTCTGGCTACCTGCCTTCCTTCCTTCCTTCCTTCCTTCCTTCCTTCCTTCCTTCCTTCCTTCCTTCCTTCCTTCCCTTCCTCCTGTCTTCCTTGCTTCCTCTCTTTCTTTTTTCTTCTTTTTTCCTTTTTAAGCTATCACAAATTACAAGCTTGTCAGCAACTATTTATTGAGGTTTCAAATATTGTGCTAGGTACTAGATGTACATAGTGAGCAAACCTCATGAAACAGACATTGTGAAGCTTACAGTTTAGTGACAATGACATTAAAATAACACAGATAACTAAATGATTATAAGTGAGCAAAGTTATGTGAAGGAAGCGTTGAATGGGATTCTCGAAGAGCTTTTTAAATAAGGACCTAACCTGGTAAGGTGAGAGTAAGTCAAAGTGGCAAGCATTAAATGACACTATGTGTGTGTAGAGTCAAACATATTTCCTGTTACTTTTACATTCAATTGCTCATGTTATCCTTATTATTACCACTGCCATTGGCATTGTTAATATTATCAGCACCCCCATGCTTGTGCATATCCTTGAGTCAGTGAACTTCCCCAGAACTTGCTACAAGATGATACCAAAATGTTTTTTTACAATACTCTTGGTCACTTGCCTTGATGTGCTCTACATCTGTGCTTCCCAACCCCTGCCAGCTTGCCTAGTTTCTGACCAGGTTATCTGAGCAGTTTCTGGGGCTACACACTCATATTTTGGTTTCCATCTATACACTGACTCCCCAGAATCCTTAGAAGACCTCTGATCTTATTGCTCCATCTCCTAAATAAGTGTCATCTAAACCCAACATCACAACTGCCCTGTTGCTCTGTTGTTCCAGAAGGAAGCAGGAATCTTTTAGGGAATTTTCCAAAAGAAAAGAAGAGTCCCTCCCAGTATCTTTGAGTTCTTTTGAAGAGCTCATTGCTATACCCACTCTGCTCTATAAGCACCTGCTCTGGCTGAATTATGAGACTGAGGGATATTCCTTCTCATTATTCTTGAGAAAGTCTTTCTTGTTCACCACTGGCCTAGGTCCTAGGCCATAAATCTAATCTTCAGACTTCATCATTTCTCCACACCAAAGGCTGTGAAATTATGGTTTATTTTTTATTTTTTATATTGTCAGTGCATATGTGTTACATACACCTATGTATGGCGAACTCTTGATTTTCCTAGCAGATTGGTGAGAGGAAGAGCTCTTAATAGGCAATAGCCCTGAATCACCTCTTCTACTAAAGTTTCTCATAACTGGCTTTAGTTTTCCTTTCCTTTTCTTCCCATTCTCTAATTAGACCTCACCAAAAGATATTTGCCCTGTAACTTGCCAAAACATAACTGCCCCAGAACAGCCCTAGATCTCTGGATATTGCATAATAAAAAGAAGACTGAGAATAACATTATCCAAGAAGTGTTCCATAGTTTCTCTTAACAAGTAGATACAGCTATTACCACTGCCCCTCCCCCAAGAGGAGGGAATATTCAAATCATGTTCAGATTTATTAACATAAAAATAGCTATCATTTCTTGAGCTCCTGCGACATGCCGGAAATTGTTCCTAAAGTATCTATAAACATTTATCTCATTTAATATTCACAACAATTTCATAAGATTGATACTACGATAATTATTTCTATTACACAGATGAGAAAACTGAGGTTCAGAGAGTTTATGACTGGCTCAAATATTTAGGACTTGAACTCATCTGACGAGATCAGGCACATTCAAGGTGGTATGACCATAGACTTGAACACTGATCTATCTGATTCTCAAACTATATTGTGAAACACTAAGAAATGGTGTCTCTTAATTTTTACCTTTGAGGATTTAAACTTACTATATTCCCATATAGGGGCAGAACAATGGCATTCTCTGCACCACAGCAATTGACAGTGATAATAACTAAGATTATTATAGCATGCTTACCTACTGTTCCTATTACATAGATGAGAAAACTGAGGCTCAGAGAGTTTATAACTCACCATATCAATGGTACATCAGCAAATGATGAAGAGGTAATGAAACTATTATTAAGGATGCCTTTGTTCTGGTTATTTTAAATCAGATTGGTTTGTAGTTTCTCATATTTTACTTTGTAGTTTTCTGTGGCATTGTATGATAAAGCAAACTTTAATGAATGATGTTGGATGTTTCAGAGAAATTTGCAATGCCATTTTCAGCACTTAAAGCAATTCTCCTATGTTAGAATGTGATATCTATTTCCACCTTTTGCTTAACAATCTATTGGGCGCATCTCCTACTTTCAGTTGTAATAAAATTTAAATTTTTTAGCATTTCAAAGGCAATTCAATCATCAGTTGACTTCTGTTTAATATGAAAAATATAGTCATTCTGACTTTGTGGTTTGGAAAAGGTTGTAGTTCCCAACTTTATATTAATACTTTCATTGTAGTTAAGGCTTAACACTTCTTTTGATTTTAATATTCTTAACAGATGCTCAACTCTCAATAACTATAATAAGATATACATTTAAGAAATATGTAAAAACATGCCAATCCTCTCCAAGTTTATTTATAGACCTGAAATTGAGTATTTATGCTGTTTACTCTGCAGCAAATACAAATACTGCCCTTAGGTGTTGCCTTTTTACTTGCAGGTTGTGTTTCTTGTTATCATCATAAATTCTTTAGTCAGAGCATGAAAAACAATTGCATAGATGAACGCCATATATAAGGCACCTGCCTCCAACGTGTGCAGAAGTCCAAGATTGTAGATTCTGAGATAAAATTAACTCATAGAAGATGACCCAAGGTTGGTAGTAATGATATTCATTATTAATTATTCTGCACAACTTATCAGTGTACCAGGCTCTGAGTGAGGGGTTGTATAAATGGTGGATCACCTATCTCTCACCATACCTCTATGAGGAGTAGTCTTAATCCCATTTGATAGATGAAGAAACTGAGGCTCAAGATCCCATGCACGGCTAGGGAGTAGCAGAGCAGGATGGGACCACCGGGTCCTAGCTGGTGTGATCTCTGAACCACTGTGTTTACCACCAGGCATCATGATGGGCTTGTTAAGAAAGCTGAGTTGGAGAGGTTCTTGTCCCTTGTCATGAGCGGAGACTTTATGCGGAGCTGCTTGATCACTTCTCATCAACTCCTCTGAGTTCTTGGACATGCCCACTTTGTTGGCTATTGGCTATGTATCTGAAAGAGTCTTTACAGACTTCAGAAAATTCATTTAACAACACAATTTCTGGGGCTATGCTACCCTTGATGCTTCCACCTCACCTTTCTTTTCTGCACTGTGTGCTCATTTGCGCCATCACACTGCTCCCCCTTTTCTTCTGCTCTCTTACCTGGTTGGCATAGTGCTGCTGCTGCTTCCTGTGTTACTCCTGTTCTGTGGTCTCTGCCTTTGTTCTTCCCTCACACAGGCAAGTTTATATAGCAGCAAAGCATTGATAAGACAGCAGCCTTTTGAGCTAGGCTGCTTGACTTTACACCTTAACCCAATTTCACTTACTACTCCACTATTTTGGCTAATTTACTTCTCTTCTCTGTGCCTCTACTTTCTGTTTTCTCAGCTTTGAAATCAATACCTGTCTCATGAAGTTATTTTGAGGAATAAATAAGTTAACATATATAAAGTACATAGCTTAGTGGTTGCCACATAATAATTGCTCGCCTAATTAATCTTCTTTTTTTTGTTTACATTTCCATGATAAGAGGTAATTTACATCAGGAAATCCCATTATTTGGGTGAGAGAGAAAACGACTTCAACCACTATAAGGAAAACGCTTCCTTCAGGAAGAAAAAGCAGATAAGTTTTCCCTTTAAGGTGCTTCTCATTCCCTAATTTTCAAGCTCCCCTTGGCCACAGCAGTGAGTTGGCTGACTGCCACTGGGACCTCAGAGACCAACACATCAGCCAAGTTTTGTTTTTCTCTTAACTCTTGCACTTCCCATCTCCCCAACTCCCAGCTGCCCTTATTCACAATGCTGGGACGACAGCTCCATGTTTGGGTCACGGTTGAACTGGGTCTTGCAGTCTTCAGCGGGTAGGCAGAAAGCTGGGGGAATGGTGGCTTCCTGTTCATTTGCACCACAACAGTCAGGCACTGGGGAATAGATGATAACTTTATATGCATGCGGGGAACAGAGACAGTAAAGAAGAATTCAGAATGACCCTCAAAGCCAGCTGCATACGAAACTTTTCATGAAGCATTTAATTTATGCTCACTGCCTCTTGTTATAGATGGCATTTTTTTTTTCATTTTAAAAATAAAGTCATCAAAAATGAGGCCAACGGCTGGACGTGGTAGTTCACACCTATAATCCCAGCACTTTGGGAGGCCAAGGTGGGTGGATCATTTGAGGTCAGAAGTTTGCGACCAACCTGGCCAACGTGGTGAAACCTCACTTCTACTAAAAATACAAAAATTAGCTGGGTGTGGTGGTGGGCACCTGTAATTCCAGCTACTCGGGAGGCTGAGGTAGGAGAATTGCTTGAACTTGGGAGGTGGAGGTTGCAGTGAGCCAAGATCATATCACTGCACTCCAGTCTGGGTGACAGAGCAAGACTCCAGTCAAAAAAAAAAAAAAAATGAGACCAAGGAAAGTGAAATAATTTGATTAAGAGCTACAGGATTTCAATACCTATGCTCTTCATCACCTCCTAGTGCTGCTCCCTTCACTTTGCTATGCATCCTTCTTCCTACACTAACCTCTCCTGGCCTCAGTGACTTCATCTGTAAAATGATAGGTTTGTCACAATGATGTTGGAGTTTCCTTCCACCTCTGACATTCTGGCACTCTTGGGTTGGCATCCAAGTTTAGAAACACTGTTGCCAGTGGTCACTTTCTGAGTGTCCAGCAGGATGTGTCTGGACAGGCCTCATTTATTCATTGCTGCTTGGTTTATGCGGCAGTCATCTGTGACTCTCTCACTGAATCACATTACAGCTTACATTATCCTGTCTCCTGTACCAACCAAACATACTTTGTTCCATTACCACTGAGCAAATCCTCTAAGGAATCTAACACAGCTCCAAGAATTTTCTTCTGGTATTTGCTTAATGTGTGTTTCCTTCACCCATGAGTCAATACAATTTCAGAACAAGATGCTCCACAAAGTCTAAATGAGGTTGGGGTCAAGTATAGACAGGAAGGAACACAACAACCATTGAGCTCTACTGAGTTAAAAATCTTTTTCTTTGCTTTTTACAATCTTTTGAGATTAGATGCTTTCTCCAAGGTTCAGACAGAATAAGGTCCTTAGCCAATGCAAATAATGCAATTTTGAGTCTGCCTATATGTTATCCATGCTACTGTAACCTTTCCCTTGGTATAACATGATGAGCATCCCTAATCCTAGAAAATCTGAAATCCAAAATGCCTTAAAATGTGAAAATTTTTGAGAGGTAACATGATGCCATAAGTGGAAAAGTCCACACCTAACCTCATATGATAGGCCACAGTCAAAATGCAATCAAAACTTTGTTTCATGGACAAAATTATTTAAAATAGTGCTTAGAATTACCTTCAGGCTATGTTTATAAGGTATGTATATAAAACATAAATGGATTTTGTGTTTAGACTTGGGTCTCATCCCCAAGATACCTCCTAAGGCATATGCAAATATTCAAAAATCTGAAAAAATTCAGAATCTAAGACACTTCTGGGTCCCAAGCATTTTGGATAAGGAATACTCAACCTGTAATAGAAAGAGTCACAAATTGGAAATATCGTTCCAACTTTGCTACCGATTTTTAACATATTGTTTTGATTAAGGCACTCATCTATACAATGCATCTATAAAAGTGATTATCTTTAAAGTGAGTAACCTTAGAGATGCTCTATCTGGAGCCAGGTTAATGCTTAAATCATCTCAACTGGTTAGGAGAACATTAAATCATCTTTCATTCTTCTTTCTCCTTTATCTCATAAGTTCAGTCACCAAGTACTATCAGTGCTCTATTCAGAATGCCTCTCCGTATTTTTCTTCCCCTGTTTCTGTCACCACCACTGTAAATCTGAACATTATGCTACTCCCGGAATCCTGAAATAGATTTCAAGTTGCACATATTCCCAGGCTCTACCCAACTTCCCTCCTAGTCCTTCATGTGTGCCCTCCTCATATACATAGTGCTCACTTCTTGCTCACATCTGAAACCTCCATTTTTCCTTCTCCATCACTTGTGTTATCAAGTTCTCTGGGTTTCAATAAACAGAACCTATCCAAAATATATTTTCTGTTCTCCCACATCCACCATCTTTATCTTATATCTGAACCTTTACCAGGGCTGTTTTCTGCAACTCTGTTCATTTAATTCTTCCAAATCTTTCATGGCCCAGCCCAAGTACAGAAAAGAGCCCTGTCCCTCTTGTTCATCAAGAGGGATGTATCCCAAGCACTAGTACAATCCCAGGCTCATAATAAAAGCTTAGTAAATATTGGTTGAATTAACAAATGACTCCTTTCCACAAAGGTTTCCCTGACTAATGCAGCCCAATTCATGTCAGAATTTTCTAAACCCCAATGGCATCGATTTAGCAGCTATATGGTCTTGTAGTTTCAGAGAATTGCTTTGTTTTCATCCATTTAAGGAAGACCAAAATCAATGAAACTATAAGAAGGTGTTGACCTGGATGAATCCTAGCTCTGGCCATATCTCTTACAGGGTAGAGGAGAAAAAAGCACTACCTATGTATCAGGCCCAGTTCCAAGTGCATTATCCATACTGTTCCCATTAAACTTACAACAGTATGAGGTAAGTGCTAAATTATCCCCAATTTATTGATGTGAAAACTGAGATTCAGAGAGGTTAAGTAACTTGCTTAAGTTAAGAAAGCTAGAACATGGTTAAGCCAGGATTTGAACCCCGCGATTCTGGCTACAGATGTGCAATCATTAGCATTATTCTATGTTACCTCTCACATCACTGCAAAACACAGGAAAATATTGAGTATCTCACCAGAGTAATGCCAAGACTAAAACAAACAAACAAACAAAAATAGCTCCTAAGTCAGCCTCTCTGGTCAATGGAGCATAATATAATCATCTTATTAGGAATGGACAGCTCTTTAGATTCAGCTCTTGCTTATTCATAATCCCCGGTGATATGCTCTACTGGCTGCTTATAAATAGGTCTGCTCTTGTGTTTTGGCCCTCAGTGATGACAACTTCACCCTAGCTGGAGCTCTCCTTTTTTCCTTTGAATTCGCGGGCCCTCTGAAATGCCACAAGGCTAACGGCAGGATGTGCCTTCTTTAAGGAAGCCCTACTTCCTGGAGCTTCTCTGGCAAGCTGTCCTAGGCAGCTCTTCACTGCAAGCCTCTGATCAGCTGAATGAAAATGAAGTGGGCATTTGTATTTCCCCACTGATTGAGTTGGCTCAACTTGACGTAGGTTCAAATTCACAAAAGCGTGTGCAGACTTGCTTCCAGGCTTGCAATGGAGCTGGAGGAGGGCAGGCTGTGTGCCCGGCTTTCTTGCAAAGCATGGCCTTGGATATGTGTCACTGGTACCCTCAAAAACCAAGTCTCCAGAATCCCCCACCCCCACCTACAAGTCATGGGATGATTTGTGCAAGGTGCCCTACTTCTGATGCCAACTGGACCCTGTTCAAATGAGCGTGGAGATCAGAAAGTATTCTTTAAAGGGTGAGTGAACCCATCATGGCTAAAATGATCTGTAATACAAAATATCTCAAACTGTCCCCCCATTGGTTAGTTAACCTTAATATTTTTGCTCTACTTGAAAGCTTTTCCCTTAGAAAAGCCTAGCTCTTAGTCACTGAATGCCAGTTATTTAAGAGAATGTCAGCCTGGTTGAATTATGTTTTCTGAATTCTTGCTTGACAAACAACAATTATAATAGTACCTTGATATTTACAAGTTTAACATTCAGATTTTTTGTATTTGTACAATGCGCTTTAGGATCACAACAAGGAGTAATTTGTAGGTACCCTGAGATGTGACTATGAATCATCCACTTAGGGATGCAGAGGTTTAGGTGAGGGTCAGTCAGAGAATATACCTAGCTCAGTGCCCAGCATCCACATCTCAACAGGTCTGTTATTTTCTAGAGTAGTAATTATAATTTAGGGATTCTTGTCCAATGTCAAGGGTGAACTCTATTTCTGAATCAGTGAAATAGCTTTAGATTTTTGTACAAATGATTGTGACATAAGGCTTTTGGAATTTTCCCATTCCATACTCAGAGCAGACATTGCTAATAAATCAAGTGCTCTAATCAAATGCAGCCTGAATCAGAATTTTCTGCAAAAGGTTAATTGGATGTGATGCTTGAAAATGTGAAAATTGCTCAGTATTGCTGGGCTTTGGAAGGTCTAAAGTAAACTGCCTATTTTTTTTCCCTTTAACTTGAGCCTGACATTAAACTCGGATTTCTCTATCCTCTCCTACACATGTTTGGGTCTCTTAGACAGAACATACAAAGCATTCTCCAAACACATCAGGGAACTGGGTCACTTCATTTGGTCTGCACACCTCTGGCAATGGGATTGGGATAAATGTTTAGGGAGGAGTAGGTAACGAAAAGGAGGAATAATTATCAGATTTCATGTGGAGAGAAATAGGTAAGCACAGGCTAGACAAAATTTCCATTAGGCAAAATAATGTCCCAACCAGAAACTCACCTATTGTTACCAAAAACAGTCTACTTCTTGGCCTAATTTATGAATTGTGCCACACCTGAAATTAACTTTTGTTAGAAGTGGAAATGCACTAATCTATAGAAGACACTTACACTTTGTGGATTTGTGATTCAGTTTTAAATACTTAATACTTTTTGAATTCTTCCATTGTAACAATCAGATGCCTTATATGGTAGGCCTGTTTGCATGTCAGTTTGCCTGCTGGAGCATGAGCTCTGCGAGGATGGGGAATGGGAAACACTTTTTTAAAAAACTTGCTTCCAGGAAACTATCAGTATGCCTTCGATGTGGTAAGCGTGAATGAATAACTGATATTTAGTATGACTGGTTTTAATCACAGAGTCTTATTCACCATGAAGCCGTTATAGACCTGTTCCAATGACAATTTATCTTGATTCCAGGTTTTCCAAAATTGGAGACAATGGCATTCATCTCTCTCTTGCTCATTTTACCCTGAGAGTTGGGCTGGCTTCATGGGTCTGCAATCTGCACATAAGGGCCCATGCTTAGAGGGGCCCTACACTTGGTTTAATACTCTGCCGTCACTTTCTTAAAATTTGTAATAATTTTTGACAAGAAGCCCTGCATTTTCATTTTGCACCAAGCTCCACAGATTTTGTAGCCAGTCCTGCCTGGCTACATAATCTGAAGACTAAGCTAACCCACAACGGCCCATCTAGCACAGTGAGTATATTAGACTATATATTATATTACATAGTGTATAATACTGAAAGTATATAATACTAAACAACCCTGAAAGATTATGTTGTATTGCGAGTATCATTAATTAATAATAGCTAACATTAATTGAGCACCTACTATGTGCCAGACACTGTTCTGGCTACCAAACAGGCATTATCTCATTGAAGCCTCAAAACAAGTCACAGAATTAGACTATATTATATAGTCTAATATATTCACTGTGCTAGATGGGCAGTTGTGGGTTAGCTTAGCCTTCAGTTTGTTTTTTCTCACTTCAAGTTGAATTCACAAATAATGTCTGGTTTTGTGGGTGTGTAGTTCTCTTTTTTTAGGAAAAAAAAAAAACCTTCTACAGCATCCATTTTATTAGAGGGAGACATTCTTTGTCACTTGGGTTCCAGATTAATAATTCTAGAATCCTACCATGCAGGAGTTGTGATTTGGTTTCAAAGAATCAAAGAGAAAAATTTTAAGAGGAGGGAACCCAGAGAAGGGCTAGCAGGTGTAAATAACTTCCATGCCCTTTATTTCATCTGGGGATGAGGGAAAGGAGAAGGATGCTAAGCAAACTTGAAAGCTCCTCAGGAGATCCTTAGGAACCCCGTACTGCTGGGCCCCTTTCTCCTGCTTCCCTTCCAGGGCTCAAGCATCCTTGGGCAATGCTTCTTCAAATTTTGTGTGTGCAGAAAACATGTACCAATCTTGTTTAATATATATTCTGATGCAGAAGGTCAGGGGTGGGGTTTGTGATTCTGCATTTCTAACAGGCTTATAGGGGAGGCTGATGCTATTGGTTCATACTTTGGGTAGCAAGCTGACAGGCTTGCCATTTTTCAAATATTAGGGCAGATCCTGAATTCCTGTTTTATCCTGACTTATGGAGCTACTACTTTTCCTATAAGTAGCCTGGCTTAACCTATCTTATAAATACAAATACCTACACACACCTACATAAGCACATGCATGAATGCTATGACTTAGAATGTTTAGTGCTTCGAGGAAGAGAAAACTCTAACTCAAACTGCCTTAGGTAAGGAGGACATTTATTATTTTATACAACAGAAAGAGCAGAGGGAGTCAAAAGCAAGCTTGAGGAGCAGTAGAGTACATGGCTCCGCAATGTCTTCAAAGACCTGGGCTTTCGTTTCTCTACTCTGCCATCCTCTGCCTTCAGTACATGGCTGTGACTGTGATGGACATCACTTTCAGATAAAACAATGTCCAGAGGCAGAAAGGAGCTGTCTCTGGTGTCTCTGTTTAGAACCCAGACACATTTCCCAGAAGCCCCAAGCAAACATCTCACACTTCATGTCGCTGGTCTGTTTCCAACCCAGTTATTTAGCCGGGGGGGTGGATGACTGGGATTGGCTTAGCTTAATGAAGATAATCAGAGTCCACTTGCTGGAGCCAGGGAGGAGGGGGTCAATGTCCCTTTAAACAAGTAAATATGCAGAGGAATGAATATCTGAAATAAGTCTAAATTAGGCTGGAAAGAGGAAATTTCTCATAACTGAGGGGAGAGAGAATAGGTACTAAGTTGGCAAATTACCAACATAGTGTATGTGTCTACTCACATATACTCCCCAGCAAATAGGCTTTATTTCAAGAAGAGCAATACACCAACTCATCACAGATCTGCAGCAGAGAGGTCTGGAGGCTCAAACCCTTCTCTTTGCTGTCATTGAATTTTTCTTCCCTGAAGCTGACCTCTAAATATTTAGTTTGACTGTGCAAAAATAACCTTTACCGCAGCTTTCTACTGGGAAGCTAATCATTGATGCATAATTACAATGTAGGGCAGAAATAAGTACCCAGTTGATTTTGTTGTTGGTTTGACTTAATTGAAATACTGTATGTTTTTCAGGCCCACCCTCATTAGTTCCGCACTCTATCCTTGTAGTTCATCCCTAAACAAATAGAGGGAACTCTGATGCCCAACGCTTTCTTGATCCAGTCCTTGAAATCTCATGATTGATTTTTGCCAGCATTGTACAATGTGTTTCCTCTGTTTAGACACTAGATAAATTTTACAGTAAGCAATTATGGATAAATTTTACCATAAGCAATTAAAAAACAACCAGGTTTCTTAATAACATTCCTGGGAGACCCAGTGAACTGCCAAAAACTACTTTTAAAAGTGCGTTAAGAGAATTTATTTCTTGACATAAATTCCTATAACAAGAGATGCATTGAGTGTAACTTTTTCCTCATTTACTAATAAATATTTACTAATAAATGTTACTTTTTAAAAAAAGAAAGCAGGACAACATGTTGGACAAAAACACAAACTCTGAAGCCCAACTACCTGGGTTAAATCTCAGTTATGCCACTAACTGTGTGACCTTAGGCAAGTTCTTAAGCTTTATGCTTTGGTTTCCTTTTCTGTGAAATGAGGATAAGAATAGCATCTACCTCTCTTGGCCTTTGTGAATGTTAAGCGTGCATATAAAGAAAAGTGCACTTAGCATAGAGTAAGCCCGTTGTAAGTGTTAACACATTTATATTTTTATATGCCTTCTTCCATGAAGTAGCACCTGTATTTACACATATTTTCTCTAGTCCCCCAAACAACCCTGAAAGATTAGATAATATTGCAGCTATTATTAACTCATAATAACTAACATTAATTGAGCACCTACTATGTGCCAGACACTGTTCTGGCTACCCAACAGGCATTGTCTCATTGAAGCCTCAAAACAAGTCACAGAAATATAATTTTTCTCCTTTTACAGATGACAAAACTGAAGGACAGAAAGATCAATTAAATTGCTCAGTGACATTCACTTTGTTTGGTAGTGGCATTATTGAGACTGGAACTCAGTCAAGTAGACTCTCACATGCTTAACTTTATGCTACTTTTGATATGGGCATACATAGACTAAGGTGTTAAATGACTTGTTCACAATCTTTCCACTACCCCTTGTTCCCTTCCCTCAGTTTGGTCAATAAGCATGGTAAAAAATCTACTCTATATCAGAAAATGTGTGGGAAGTCAGAGATTGTGATCCATAGAACATAGCAGAACTTGAGAAAATGAAGAGATATGTTTAAAAGGGTACTAATAAGTATTCAATCGAAATTAGAGTCTACAGAGCACTCTCATATTGAACTGAACAGAATTAAGGCATTAATTGTCTCACGAGAAGTACCTGCTTTATAGAAGCTTGCTAAAACATGGTGCTTCTGGTAGGGTGCAAAGTAAAATACTACATTCATGGCACAAATGAGGAAGACACTCGGTCCCACCTGTCGGACTCTCTTGCCCCTCAAGTACTACGATGTCATAGTCTTCAACTGACATTGTTACTGCTTTAGATAGCAGAGGCCTTTTATTCAAATGGAATATTAAAAGGGGAGGCCAATGTCTGAAACAGATATATGTTTTATTAGTACTCATTTCTACATTCAGCGTTATAGAAAAGTTACAATAAAGTCCACAAACAAGACCAGTTAAAATACACCAGGATTAAATTTTGCTTCCCGTTTTCATCATTTTGCTTTTGGTTGCCCATTCCTGATAAAATCTTGAGTCACAGATAGCAGTAGTCATACATCTAACAGCTCCTGACTTCCCAAATCGAAGATTTCTTCTGTATCAGTTTAAATAGGTGTGGGAGTTTCTTTTAGCCAAAAAAAAAAAATCTGGCTTTCATTCACTGACATATATTAGTGAGCACCTCCTATGTGCTAAGTACCCAGCAGAGTGCCAGAGTATATGACAGACAGGGTAGACATGGTCCCTTCCTTTGCAATTTTGGAGAGCGGCAACTTCTAATCTAGACTCTGCACAACAGCTAGTTTTAATTTTTCATTTCATTTTTCCAAATGCAATAGATATTAGAGGAAATTTTAAAAGAAGAATATTTGCTAGATGAGGGTTTCAGGGAGATAAAATTCTTCTCTGCAAAGGGGGGAAATTCTCTATCTGATAGAATTTTAGAAGGGATTGAAACAATAGCAGGGAAGAATTCTGGGGAATGCAAAAGAGGGAGTATATGAACAATAAAGACTGGGATAGAGACTGCAGTGGAAGCACGAAGCTGAGAAAAGACAAAGAGGACTAGTGGGTAGGTTCCCTCCATTCACCAAGGAGGGGTGGCAAAGTATTTTACCACCAGCGGCAGAATATGCTTAGGACCGAAACTTCTTGCTCAATTTGTTTATTTGTTTTGGTTTTTTTCTTTAGCAAAAATACTTTGGGCCTTCTTAGATGTGGAAAACTTGCCCCTGGGCAGAGCCAAGGAAAATCAAGGGGAAAGAAAAAATTGAATTGCTCTACAAAAGGAAGTTGGAAAATTTTAAGTATTTAGGAATTGCCCAGGAGGGGACACGGGAAGGAGGAGCATGAGCAAGGTTCTGGAACAAGGTGATGCACAGAGGGGCCAGGCAATTTGGCAGGTGAAAGGTTCTCTGTGATAATAATGGCCTGTGATTTTTAAGAATAGAAATGTTTAAAATGTTATCTGCCTTGCTGTAATGTAATCCTTTGTTATTCCATATTTATTGTTGCTGTTGTTAAAATCTATTACTCACACTCTCTTGCATGTGGTATTTATAAGAAATTGAAGAAAAAAACAGGGAGGCAAGAGCATTGCCCTGAATTATTGGAAACATTAGTATGAAGTAGAAAGAGAAAAAAAAATCAGCTACAAGAGGAAAACCACAACATCAAGAATTTGGTATAAATACACAATCTGAACAAGAGATGCCTAAGAGGGATACAACCCACCCAGTAAACCTTGGGATAATAGGGGAGGGTCAGTGTGTCTCAGGGCCGGCACGGGAGGTACTTCTACTTTAATACTGCAAAGTGTTACATAAGGCCAGAGGATTTGGAGCTGTCCCTCTGTCTGACTCCCGGGTTATTTGGAGGAACATGCCATGTTGCAGCAAGAAGAAACTTTCAAGACACAAATCTAGTCCAGAGCCTTCCTTTAACAGATTTGGTCACCAAGACAAGAGAAGAGAGTGACTTGCCCGATTCCACCAAGGTGAAGGGGAAGAAAGACAACTACCAGATCTCCTGACTGTGACCCTGGCTCTCCATCCACTCGGCTCCTATCTCTTCACAAGGGAAGACTGTGCTTTGATGATGTTTTGGGAAAGTGCTAGTGATTTAGAGTTCTCCAGCAGGCTGATTGGCTTAGCAGCTGGGAAATTCTGAATCACATCGGATGGAATGTTTTGTTTACTTCCTCCCAGCAGTGCTAAAGGGGAGAAAGAGTTTGTTCCCCCACCCCCCTCCACCCAAGTAATTTGCTGGAAGCAGTAAATAATTTCCCAGTTCATCTGATCTCCCTTCTAACCAATGTCTTCCTGTGGTAGTTGAAGAGAAAGAATATCATTTGAAATACTTGACTTATTTTCAGAAGCTAGCAAAGAGAAAGATGAATGTCTCTTCCTTAACTCTTAGAAAGCTACTATCCCTTACTGTTAGGGGCAAATTGTAACGCAGAGGTCCTATCTAGGGCAGCCAGTCCTGCCATGAATAGATGTGTGTCCAGAGATTGTTAAACCCAGACTGTAAGCAATCATATAGTTCAACAGGTCAGAAGCCCTTTCTTAAACCAAATTAAAGTCAACATTCAATAAACAAAAACTGATAAAATTGGAGCGGCTTAGATTGAAGTTAGGAGTTGAAAACATCTTAATCTTCCCCTTACCCTGCTGTAATAGTCTCTGAGACAGATCTCTAAAGAAGCAATTTGGAAACGACTAAACTAGTTCAGCTGACTCACTCTATCAATGGTGATTTCAGAATGACCTTCCCTATGTCCCATGGCTAAGGAGTGGCATACCTGGACTTGAACTCAGGTCTCCTCAGGCTCAGTCCATTGACTCTTCTATAATTCACTAACATGGTAAAATGCTGTCATGACTTATGCCTCATCTGGAACTAAGATCTCCTTGGAAGCAGAGAGTGACCGGATGAAGTTAGGCAATATGTTACTGTATCCAGTAACCAGGGAAAATTCAGTGACATTGAGTCAGAGGAAGCTGTGGTTTGACCTGACCAATATAAACAAATGTACACAAGCAAAGCAGGCGTGGAAATACATATATTTCATGTGATTCTTGAGATAGTTAGGATGTCTGTGTCATCTGCCATTTCCTCTTTACACTGGTCCACATACAGCCCAAAGATGCCCTGCAGTCGTGAGCAGACAATACAAGCAGGAAATCATGCTGCATCAGTTATTCTTTTTGTAAAAATGTAATGGTAGGAGGTGTTCACCAGTCCACACAAAGGTAAAGAAACTAACTTTGATCTAGTGGTCACCAAGAATCACACAATCTACTATCTGTGGGCTTTTAGGGTAGTTACTTCAGTCCCCTCCTTCCCAAGGAGGAATTTACAGGGAAATGAGATTTTACACCTAGAGTCCTCAACTTCATGTCTGGGGTACAGTAAGCTTGCAATAGTACTAGTGAGTATTTTTGTTATGTAACTAGCGTAATAGTAACACTTCTTACAATAACCCTGTGGGGCTTATAATGATCAGTCCTCATTTTCCAAATGAAGAAAAACTGAGGTCTGGAGAGCTTAAGTGCCTGGCCCGAAGTCATACAATCTGGAAGGGGGCAGACAGTAGATGTAAAACCAGGACCCCCTGACTCCACTGCCAGTTTGCTTTGTGCTACAGTGATTCCCCCAGTAAATTTCTACTTGAGTTCCATGTCTGGGGAAAAACGTTTCTGCTAATGCATTGTCATCTGACATGTAATTTGGGTGTCTCCCTTTTCAGTTTAGTGCTAGAAAACTTGTAACCAAATTTATTGCCCAGGTATAATACTCTAACTAATTCTGAAATAATTTATCCCTTTTCTTTCATTTATATGGGCTCTTATTTTTGATGGCCTGATTTTCATTTATTTTATGTTTGAAACATCTTACCATGTTACTCTTGGGATGTCTTTACAAAAACTGTCATCATTATCAGAAATGAGTAGAAATTCAAACTTAATTATGTTAGAGTTGTATTAAGGGGTAAGGGGCATAAAAAGGATAAACCAAGGTTTCTGGCATCAAGAAACTTACAGATTAATTGGGGACAATAGAGCTATACATGAAAACGATGAGGCAGTAAAAAAATTCCAAGTGAGAGAGGTATGAGCAGAAAGTACCTCTGAAGAGAGAGAGATTTCTAAAATTGGAGGTTGTATTGGAAAAGACTTTCTGAAATTTGGGCTTAGATTTCCAGAAAAAGCTGGTCACGGTGGAATCCAAAAGCTAGAAGACTCTCGCTCCTCTAAGTTAAATAAATCATTTGCTTACACATTTATTCAACACACTTTTGTTCACCTCCCTGTGCTAGACTCTGTGTTGGCACTGGGTGGTGAGTACACTAAGAATTGCCTTCGCTCTTGTAGAATATAAAGTGTAGGTTTTCAAGAAAAACATTATTAATGCTACTATGTTATATTTCTAGAAGAAAGTAGAAAGCAGGAAATACTGAAATCAAGTGTAGTGTAAATTGTAAGCAGTCATCTCATTCTCATTTGCCAGCCCATGTAATAGTAAATTTTATTTCAAGTAAAATATTTTAGGTCCTTACGGCTTCAGTTAGATTCAACCCAAACTAGCCATTACACTGAATGAAAGATATATTCACTTAATGTCTTACTTTTATTGGGAGAAATTAACCATTCCGCTAGAATATGTTGGAACAACCAGAAACTGTAAATCCTGTTTTTAGAGGAACACCAGGGTGGTTTCCCTAGCGGTAAACAACCCACCTCAACACAGTCTGTCAGTTTATTTGCTATTTGCATTATAAGATCTTTTAAAGATCGATGTGAATAATGAGCAAGAGTGATCCCTAGGGGCCATCAACTTTCTTAGGCACTGATTCTTATTCCATCCATCATTTTTGTTTCAGAGACTAATAACAACTAATAATTTGGAAAAGGTAACTTTTATATATTTGCCTCCAAAACCTTTTATTTTTTCCATCAAGAAAAGAATGCACTTTTTCTGTGGGATGAGTTCTTTCTATCACTTTTTGAGTAATGAATATTAATCCTCGTATGCAGCAGAATCTAGTCCAGTGGAATAGCACCATTTAAGAGTGTGTTGACCTGAATTGCAGTCCTAACCATACCACTCGATGGGTCTAGTTTTTCATCTGTCATGTGGGGATAATAATGAAAACATGATAGCTATGAAAATATAGTATAAAACATAGAATGTTTTATTGTTTTTGCCTTCCTCAGATGCATTTACTCTTTTTTATTTATTTATTCTACCTTAAGTTCTGGCATACACGTGCAGAAAGTGCAGTTTTGTTACATAGGTATACATGTGCCATGGTGATTTGCTGCACCCATCAACCCGTCATCTAGGTTTTAAGCCCCACATGCATTAGGTATTTGTACTAATGCTCTCCCTCCCCTTGCCCCCCACCCCCTAACAGGGTCCGGTGTGTGATGTTCCCCTCCCTGTGTCCATGTGTTCTCATCATTCAACTTTCACTTATGAGTGTGAACATGCAGTGTTTTGTTTTCTGTTCCTGTGTTAGTTTGCTGAGGATGATGGCTCCCAGCTTCATCCATGTCCCTGCAAAGGACATGAGCTCATTCTTTTTCATGGTTGCATAGTATAACATGGTGTATACATACCACATTTTCTTTATCCAGTCTATCATTGATGAGCATTTCAGTTGGTTCCATGTTCCTATTTCTCCACAGCCTCTCCAGCATCTATTGTTTCTTGACATTTTAATAATCACCATTCTGACTGGTGTGAGATGGTATCTCATTGTGGTTTTGATTTCATTTCTCTAATGACCAGTGATGATGAGCTCTTTTTCATATGTTTGTTGGCTGCATAAATGTCTTCTTTTGAAAAGTGTCTGTTCATATCCTTTGCCCACTTTTTGATGGGGTTGTTTTTTTCTTGTAAATTTGTTTAAGTTCCTTATAGATTCTGAATATTAGACCTTTGTCAGATGGGTAGATTGCAAAAATGCTCTCCCATTCTGTATGTTGCCTGATCACTCTGATGATAGTTTCTTTTGCTGTGCAGAAGATCTTTAGTTTAATTAGATCCTATTTGTCAATTTTCATTTTTGTTGCAATGGCTTTTGGCATTTTCATCATGAAATCTTTGCCTATGCCTATGTTCTGAATAGTATTGCCTAGGTTTTCTTCTAGGGTTTTTATGGTTTTAGGTTTTACATTTAAGTTTTTAATCCATCTTGAGTTAATTTTTGTATAAGGTGTAAGGAAGGGGTCTGGTTTCAGTTTTCTGCATATGGCTAGCCAGTTTTCCCAACACCATTTATTAAATAGGGAATCCTTTCCCCATTGCTTGTTTTTGTCACATTTGTCGAAGATCAGATGGCTTTAGATGTGTGGTGTTATTTCTGCGGTCTCTGTTCTGTTCACTTGGTCTACATGTCTGCTTTGGTACCAGTACCATGCTGTTTTGGTTACTGTAGCCTTGTAGTATAGTTTGAAGTCAGGTAGCATGATGCCTCCAGCTTTGTTCTTTTTGCTTAGGATTGTCTTGGCTATATGAGCTCTTTTTTGGTTCCATATGGAATTTAAAGTAGTTTTTTCTGATTCTGTGAAGAATGTCAATGGTAGTTTGGTGGGAATTGCATTGAATGTATTAATTACTTTGGGTAGTATGGCCATTTTCACAATATTGATTCTTCCTATCCATGAGCATGGAATGTTTTTCCATTTGTTTGTGTCCTCTCTTATTTCCTTGAGCAGTGGTTTGTAGTTCTCCCTGAAGAGGTCCTTCATGTCCCTTGTTACCTGTATTCCTAGGTTTTTATTCTCTTTTTGCCCATTGTGAATGGGAGTTCATTTATGATTTGGCTCTCAGCTTTTCTATTGTTGGTGTATAGTAATGCTTGTGATTTTTGCACATTGATTTTTTGTCCTGAGAAGTTGCTTACCAGCTTAAGGAGTTTTTGGGCTGAGATGATGGGGTGTTCTAAACATAGAATCATGTCATCTGCAAACAGAGACAATTTGACTTATTTTCTTCCTATGTGAATACCCTTTATTTCTTTCTCTTGCCTGATTGCCCTGGCTTGAACTTCCAATACTATGTTGAATAGGAGTGGTGAGAGAGGACGTCCTTGTCCTGTGCTAGTTTTCAAAGGGAATGCTTCCAGCTTTTGCCTACTTAGTATGATATCAGCTATTGGTTTGTCATAAATAGCTCTTATTATTTTGAGATATCCACCATGATCAAGCAGGCTTCATCCCTGGGATGCAAGGCTGGTTCAACATACGCAAATCAATAAATGTAATCCATCACATAAATAGAACCAATGACAAAAACCACATGATTATCTCAATAGATGCAGAAAAGGCCTTTGATAAAATTCAACATCCCTTCATGTTAATAACTCTCAATAAACTAGGTATTGAGGGAGCTTTTACTATTTTTTAGTAATAGTATCCAAAATTTCTCTTGGGAACTAGCTGCTACCCCATATAGCACAGAGCATGTGGCACAGACCTGGCCAGTCAGAATAATAAATGATGATGCTCATGAAAAAAATAAAAAGACCTCAGCAATATGCTCAGGAATGCAGGTATTATTCAAACTGGTTAAATAAGAATGAATTATGAGAATTGTATGGGATGAGGTACTTGATCTCTTCTCCTGAGCTTATACCTGGAAGGATACAAGCCTGAGGCTACAGTCTCCAAATGGTGAAACTTGAGAATGAGGTACCCAGAGAGAAAGAGTTTTATTTTTTCCTTTTCAATGTGTATCTCTTTTATTTCCTTTTTTTGTCTTATTGCATTAGAAAGGGCTTTGGTGCAATGTTGAAAGGGAGTAGTGAGAGAGAACATCCTTGCTTTCTTTCTGATCCTGGTAGAAAAGCTGTGAGTTTCTCCCCATTAAGCATAATGCTTTGTTAGCTGTAGGTTTTTTGTAGATAGTCTTTATCAAATTGAGGTGGTTCTCCTCTATTCCTAGTTTACTGAGATTTTTTTTTAATCAGAAATGGGTGTTGGATTTTGTCAGGTGCTTTTTCTGCATCTATTGATTTAAGAATGTGATTTTTCTTCTTTAGCCTGTTGATGTAATGGATTATTTTAGTTTAACATTTATTTAACATATTTCAAATGTTGAACCAGCATTGCCAACCTGGTGTAATTCCCACTTGGTTGTGGTATATAATTTTTTTATACATTGTTGGATTTGATTTGCTAATACTTTATTGAGAATTTTTACATCTGTGTTCATGAGATATATTGGTCTGTAGTTTTCTTTTCCTACAATGTTTTTGGTTTTGTCCTCATAAATGAGTTAGTAAATATCCTTTCTTCTATTTTTTGGAAAATATTATAGAAAATTAGAAAATTTTCTTTTCTAAATATTTGGTAAGACTAATCAATGAATCCATCCAGGCCTGGTGCATTCTGTTTTAAAAGTTATCAACTATTGATTCAATTTCTATAATAGATATAGACTTATTCAAATTGTCTGTTTCTTCTTATGTGAGGTTTGACAGATTTTGTCTTTCAAGGAATTGGTTCATTTGATCTCGGTTATCAACTTGTGGGCATAGAGAAGTTTATCATATTCCTTAATTATCCTTTTAATGTCCATAGAATCTGTAGTAATGTCCTCTCTTTCACTTTTGATATTAGTAATTTACGATGTCTCTCTTTTTTTCTTAGCTAGCCTGGCTAGAGGCTTATAGGTTTTATTGATCTTTTCAATAAAACATTTTTTGGTTTTGTTCTATTATTATTTTTAATAGTCTTAATTTCACTATGTGAAATGCCATCAGTGAGCATGCATAAATTCTGCCATTATCATCCTAGGAACTTTTTGAAACTTCCCCTGTTTTGTTTGGAAGTGGGGTGTAGAGGGAAAACAAAGTTGATTCCTCCATTGCTATAATCCAGGTATGCATTCCAAAGAGTACACTCAGATTCATTTGGGTCTTTCTGCACATTCCTGGGCTGTGAACTGTGTAAAATACTTTACAATGTTAAGCATTTTCCTAAGGCACTAATAGTCAATAGACAAATGTCTTGCAGGTAAGTTAAATTTGAAGGAATTTTCATATCCTCTTCCCAACTATTTGATCTTTGTTAATAGTGTGATATCCAATAGTTTCCTATTTTAGAAATTTCATTGCCATCTATCCATCAAATCATTCATTATATATGTATTTAGCAAATATTTACTGAGTGCCTACTGTATACCAAGCACTGTGCTAAGCACTAAGGATTTAGTATTGAGCAAAACATATGTAGTTCCCTACTGTCATGGAGCTTAGTCTTTTTGTCCTCATCACTTGCTCACCCACCATGATTCCATCCTCCATTTAAACTTGTAGTAAATTTCCAGTCTCCCAATAATTCAATTTGAGAATTATTGCTTGGGTCTGTCATTCTGTTTCTTTGCTATTCCTGTCTCAGGTCATATCCACTTCATCTCCCCTATAAGACTGTAATTCCTGATCTCCCTGCTACCAAAGTAGCTTGACCATAGTCCACATCCCATACAGCATTTGTAAAATCATCCTCTTGGAAATAAATCTGATGATAAATCTTAGTGTAACTGTGAGTGGGTCAACCAGATAAGTGCCTCCCAATGGGATGCAATATAAAGTACTCAGCACCACCTGGGAAGTATTCCTGCCCTTAACAAACTAAAGTTGAATTGGATTAGGCCTTTTAGAGTAAACTACAAGTTATAGGAAACAGAAAAGGTAGAAGAAAATGTTAAATGAAACCAAAAAGGAAGCAAACAGACAAATGGAGTATATGAAAAGGTCCTAGGACATTACATCAGGTTTCTCCAGTAACTCAACGTTAACAAGGTGGAGGGAAGAGAAAGTGCTCTCAATTAAGATCTCTAAGAATCATTACAACCTAGTACAACATGAGACAGTGATTGGGGTCCCAATTTGAGCAAACATACTATTAAAAAGATATGAGACATATGAATGTAGACCTGATTAAATGATGCCAATAAAATATTTTTAATTTAGTTAGCTTAGAAAACTGATTGTGGTTGGATAAGAACAAATTCAGATGCACATATCTAGAAATGACGTGAGGTGAGAGATTTGCTTTAAAATCATTCATCTTGATAATTGAGTGTTTGATGTACAGAGGGTAATTTTTATATTACTCTCCTTCATGTTTGTTTAAAGAGTAAAATTTTTAAAATTGTTCAGTCATGTAACTCTTAAAAATAATCTGCAAGTTCTCTGCTGGCTACAGAACACAATCTAAGCTCATAAGCTTGCCATTCAAGTCCCTTTATAAAATGGCCCCAAACTAGTTTTTGACCTATTTCTGCATTCCCCATGATTCTTCCTTGCTTAACATTCCTTTTCCTAAACCCACCATATGCCTTTTCATGACTCCAAGTCTTTGTGAATCCCATTCCCACTGTCCAGAATTTCCTTGCCCTTCTTCTCAGGTGACAAATTTACTCATCCCTAAAGTCATAGCACAAAATATTTTCCATTGGGACAAACATCTTGGCCAGAATTAGTCATTTTCTTCAAGCTGCTTCTTTTTCTATGACTCACTTACAGGATTCACTACATTCTGTTGTAATTATCAAGCCAATGTCTCTCTGTCTCTGTACTCCCAGCACCACCATAGTGTCCAACAAACAAGAGGTGCATGATAATCGCCTGTCAAATGAATGCCTGCAGAGTGGATCCTTTCTCTGTGCATGTCCTCCTCATGACCTAAAGAGAGAGAAATACAGAAAGACCATTTTTCTACCTTGCATTGTTTTTCTCCTATCCTATAAATCTCAGAGATTTGACTTCCCTAAAATGGAAAGATAATCACAGTTCTAAACTCCCAGGTGACAGAAATATGCTAATATTTCACTTGTAAACACCACCAACAAATGGACTCTGTCATTAAGATTTAATGATTTTTAGCATAGCTGGGATTTATCTTTAGAGAAACACTGAGACTTGATTCCTTTAATGAACTTTTTTTCCCGACCCAGCAATACCTAATTTCTACCTAATTGCTTTGTGTTGATATTCAGTTTAGTTCCTTGGGTTCCTCCCCGAAATATGTCCTTATGGAGGTTGCTCCCAGGCTGTTTAGCTGCAATGCATTATGTTGTCCTTAAGTCTTGAATTCAAATGCTTGAAAACATGCACTTCCCTTTTGTTTTTTTCACTCTTAGGGACTTTGTGTATCATCAACTTATGATAGTAGTTTCAAGCTCTCTGAGTGATTTTAAGTTCATAATTTTCAGGTAAAATATAACCCACAAGACTGAATATGCAGCCCCTACATAAAAGGGTCTCCTCTTCAGTGTGGTGCTAGGATATTTTAAAGAGCCTACAACAGAGAGAATAAAAATTTGACATGAGTCATCAACTAATGAAGGACAACTACAATGCGATATATCCATAAGATGAAATATTATTCAGCAATTAAAAGGAATGAAGTACTGATACATATACATATTATAACAGGGTAAGCCTTGAAAATATTGTGTCAAGTGAAAGGACCGAGTCAGAAAAGATATATTGCATTATTCCACTTATAGTAAATGTCCAGAATAGGCAAATCTATCAAGAGAGAAAGTAGATTAATGTTTGCCTGGAGGTGGGAGGGTTGGGGGGAAATGGGGAGAGACTTCTAATTGGTGTAGGGTTTCTTCGTGGAGTGATTAAAATGTTCCAGAATTAGATAGTAGTGATGGTTGCACAAGTCTGTGAATATACTAAAAATCATTGAATTATGCACTTACAGGATATGAATTATTTCTTAATAAAGCTGGTTTATCAGTCAGAATGGCTATTACTAAAAAGTCTAAAAATAACAGATGTTAGTGAGGTTACAGAGAAAAAGAAATGCTTATAAACTGTTTGTGGGAGTGTAAATTAGTTCAACCATTGTGGAAGACAGTCTTTCCTCAAAGACTTAAAAACAGAAATACCACTTAACCCAGCAATCTCGTTACTGGGTATATACCCAAAGGAATATAAATTATTCTATCAGAACGACACATGCACTCATATGTTTATTGCAGCACTATTCACAATAGCAAAGACATGGAATCAACCTAAATGCCCATCAGTGGTAGACTGGATAAAGAAAAGGTGGTACATATACACTATTGAATACTATGCAGCCACAAAAAAGAAAGAGATCATGTCCTTTGCAGGAACCTGAATGGAGCTGAAGGCCATTATCCTTCGCAAACTAATGCAGCAACAGAAAACCAAATACCGTATGCTCTCACTTATAAGTGGAAGCTAAATGAGAACACATAGACACGCAGAGGGGAACAACATGCACTGGGGCCTATCACTGAGCAGAGGGTTGGAGGAGACAGAGGACCAGGAAAAATAACTAATGAGTACTAGGCTTAATACCCAGGTGATGAAAAATAATCTGTACAACAAACCCCCATGACAAAAGTTTACCTGTGTAACAAAGCTGCATGTGTACCCCTAAATGTAAAATAAAAGCTAAATTTAAAAACAAAAATAAAGCTGGTTTATTTTTAAGCTTAGGCATGATAATTGGATACAGTATTTTTAGGGTAATGCTTGCTGGTCTATCAAACAACCCCAAACCTTATAGTGGCTTCACACTAGCACATTTGTTTCCTCATTCACATAACAATCCAATGCAGGTATTCCTGGTAGGTGAGGAGCCTCCCACGCAGTCATTCAGAAACCCAGGTTCTTTCCATCCCTGTATCTCTAAGATCTCAGAGTCCTCTGTAATCATCTGGCAGATGGGGACAGGGAGCGGAAAGAGGCATATCTATTTCTCTACCCTCTCAGCTTGGGAGTACCCCATATCACTTCCACTCAAGTTCCACTGTGTTGTGTGGCACACCTAATTGCAAAGGCCTCTTGGAAAAGTGACTTAATTGTGTATACAGGAAGGAGAGTAAGCTGGTTTGGCAAATGGCTAGCCATTCTCTGCCGTGGTGTCCCCACCCTCTTGATCCTCCCTTATTGGTGCTTATCTCCAACTCTTTGCCATGTTTTATTCATCACCTAGTATAATTCTGGATTATATACATTCTCATTGTTTAATTAGGCACATGTGTTATACATCTATGAGAACAATTAGATTGTTTTTGATCCATTAAGGGAAAGGAGAATATGCTTTATATGCAGAACATAGGAGTTATCAACCTGTTCCTTTACTCTCCTTAATTCACTGCCTTTGTCACCAGACATGTCTTTCTTAAGCAAATCTATCCTTGTTACTTCCCCTTCTCGGAACATTCACTGGTTCCCCCTTTCTTATACCTGTTGTTTTCACATGTCTGTCTGTGGATTGCTTGAATGTAGAGTAAAATGGTCAAAATTAAGACATTGTAGTCTGTTGCATGTGTGTGCACGCACGCACATGTATATGTGTGTATATAGTTGATGTCAGATTGCCAGCTGCGCTTGCTCAAGAAATTTATTTAGAGATTATGTCCCTCTGATATTTTGGAGCGTTAAACTATTATTTTCTTTTATGAAACCATGGTGCTAGCTGATTATTTTTAAATGTTCTTCCATTCCAAAATAGATTTAACCTTATACTTTGTCAAAATGTGGGCAAGCATATGACTTGAGAGCAATAGAACTTTTTAAGATGTCTTTTGAGCAGAGTTTATGAAGTTGCCACTCACAGAGCACGTGGAAGGCACATCATCTCCATAGTCCTGATCACATGGTGTATAATTTTGTCCTTCTGCTTAGAAGGCTTGGGTATATATGTGTTCATGGAGATAACAGCAAATGGTCTTCCAGGAATTTAGAAAGCATTGCAAAGAGGATGGGAGGGTTTATATTAGGTCCTGTGTGAATTTCCAATAAGACTGCCAGTGATAGAACAAATTAAGGTCCTAATTACCGTCAATAATGTGCATCTACAAGACCCCATTTCATTTGGCCAACTTTTTCACTCTTAAATTTACTTGGCCTTATGTTTAGATCCAACTTGGATCTTACATTTACTTGTAGATGCATCCCCAAATCCTCTCTACCTGCTGTGGTTTTGGAAAGGAGACATTTCAAAAACCTCAAAATTGGACCTAAGTATTCTGGGCACAAATTTAAATTTAATAAATATATAACCTATCAAACCTATGTGTATTGACATTCTGTATGTGGCTCATTGTGGGTCTTCAGGAAAGTCATGCTGGCCCACTGGGGTTCAGTTTTCACCAATAGAAAAATGATAGTGGTCCAGTCTGACTTCTAAAGCCTCTTTACTTCTAACGCTGTATACCCTAAATTATTCATGCCTGGTGCATGCATAGTTTGTGGTAATATCATATTAAGGACTTTATTTTCCATTCACAGCTAGAATCTGACACACTTCAAAGTAAATAAAATGTGTGGTGTGTGTGTATGTTTAAAGCTTAAATAGAAACCACCTGTCATTTGAGTGTCTTGGAAAGACAAGTAGAGGCAGCATTTGCCTTTGTTATCAGTGACTCATGCTCCAACAGATCCAGGCTTCAGTAGCAGTTTCGTCAGTACGCTAGGAGCCATGTGCAACATGTCTAGTCTGCAGGACCCGTTTTCCTAGGAACACGTGTGCACTGCACTGAGAGTGAAGATGGAGAGATCCAAAGTGAGCCAATATTTATTTATATATTGCAGCAAGAGGTCAGAAAATAAGAATTCACAGTAATAAGATGCAGATGGGACTTGGGATGGGTCCTTCTGGAGTCCTAAAGATAAATATTGTTTTAAAGTTGTTAACAAAGAAGGAGGTACTGTGTTAGCACTCGTATTTTTCTTCTTGAAAAGAAGGTGTTAATGTAGTATCAAGTTAAAAATCACTGAAGAGGAGGAAAAAATTGGAAAATCTGTCTTTCCTGTGAAGTGAAATAATTGTAACCATGTAGCTTCCCATTGCTGAGCCCAAGTAGTTGAACAGTGTAATGTGGGGTTAGGAGCATGGGCTTCTGGAGTCAGCAGCCTGGGTTCAAAGTCTGGCTGAGCCGCATAAAAGCTTTATGAAACATTTCAAGTCATTTACCTTTGTAAGCCTCAGTGTCCTCATCTACAAAATAAAGATGATAGTACTGGCTCATGGTAAGGATTTATAGAGGTAATAAAACCAATGCACATGTGAACACTCAAGGAATTGATAGCCATTTTTCTTATTACCTCAACCTTTAATATTAATACATATCTCAAGATCTCCCAAATCAACCCCTTCTATATTTTTACTCCAGAAATCTATCTGTTTAAATTTTCTAGAAAGATTTACAGTGTTTCTTTTCTTCTCCTTCTCCTCTTCCTCTTCTCTTTTTCCTGATCCCTCCTCTCAGAGTAGATAAGAACGGTACTGGCCACAAGCCAGACTCCTCTTGAAAGAATATGCTTTCAGATTAGCCATGTGTCATCTGAAGTTGTGGATCTGGGGATTAGTCTTCAGTGATTACAAATCAGACAAGGGGTATTATTGTCTTATTTTCCCTCCCACCTTCTCCCCAAGCAGAGCTGCTGCCTGCTCAGGGTGGCAGCTTCAGCTGGGTCATGCCTGGTGCTTGGCATGCAGCTGCAGCAGTGAGAGCTGAGGATGCTTCAGGGTGTTTTTGATGTTGTTCTGTTTTGTTTTTGAGAAGGGCAACTTTTAGTGCATTGGAACCCAGTGTCTTGAATAACTACCTGCCTGTTAAATGCTGGTAATGTATTTTGCCCCAGATGAAGTGCAGGTTGCTACTGAGACCATCCTTCTCTTATCTCTGCCTGTTAAATGTCTTGCCCATTCTTTGAGATTTGTTTCATATTTCTATTCCTCCATGAAGGCCTTTCTTGGTCTCTGTTCTGGACCTCCTTTCCCACTCAGTTCATGGCATGTGCTTACAGCCTGGATCCCTAGGTCTCCTTGATTAATCTGGTCAAGTATCCAGGTCTACATCATATAAACTCCTTAAAAGAATGTTTGTTGTTTATAGACTGACCCTGAACAATTTCTTTTAATTTACGTGTGTCTCGGTTTGATAAGCATTCTCTGCTTTTAACCTAATCTAACCCTGATGCTTAACTAATTAATTTCATCCTTCCCGGCTTCTTATTCTGACCACAACAGGGCCTGGTCTCATGTAAATGAAGGACAAAGAGGAAAGAGGTTCATGGGACTATTTTAACTGATGGGTGTTACCTTCATTTATTTGTATTATAGTGACAAGTGTATTTATCCTATTTCTTTCTTGTAAGCATGATTCCAGGGATTTGTTTTTCTATGTAAAATGGGGCTTTGAACATAGGAAGTGCTCAAATGGTTAATAATTGGAATAGATACACTAATTATCAGTTTAGAAGAGTGATACTAATGCAGTCCTGTGTGTGTGTGTGTGTGTGTGTGTGTGTGTGTGTGTGTGTGTGTTGCATACCCAAAAAGAAGAGGAGGAGGAATAGGACAATGACAGCAGGCTCAACCATAGGTTACATTTTGAAATTTTTCTTTTTTCCCTTCTTTTTCACTTTCCCTTTCTATAGGAAGTCAGGATTCAAGACCAGATGTTTAATTTTAGCACCAAGGTTGGTTTCTATGAATCATTGCTCTATTAAAACCTATTCTAACCAAAATATCTCAATGTTATTTAGAAGTTGGTGTGACTTTTTAAAAAATTTACCTCTTGCAGAGATATTTATATTTTAATTTTTTTCCATTTTTAGAAATACATTCCTATTACTACTGGTACTGGGCATTATTGGGGGTAGAAAATATCCAATGTCATGTAATAATAGTTCCCCAGTCTTGTCTATCACCAGAGTCACATGGGAGCTCCTATTCCTGAGCCCATCCCTGGAGATTCTGAGTCAGGATATCTGCAGGTATCTGCAGGAACTGGAAATTTGTAACTTTAAAAAGCTTCCAAAGTGGGGCTAATGAGCAATGGATGTAGGAACTGGGGTGAAAAGATCAGGTCCTATTCATTAGGAGTTTATAAGCTGCTCGGGAAGATCAAATCATGAGAAATGCTAACTCACAAGCTTGAATTATGTTATGAAATGCCTTACATATTTAACCTGCTTAGCTATGTGTGAAGCATTTCATAAAGGGAAATTTCACATAGCCCATCCCTCCTACAAGGTAGGTAAAGCAATTGTTTTTATTCACTTTTTTCTTAAGGGGGTATTGAGGCAAAGACATTAACTGACTTACTTAGAAACTCAAAGTCCTGACTGAGCCCAGCTTCAAACAGTACATATCCTACGCCCTTAATTGTACAAATGGACTCACTGGTTCAAGGTATTTTTTTTTCTTTTGAGATGGAGTTTCACTCTTGTTGCCTAGACTGGAGTGCAATGGTGCAATCTCAGCTCATCACAATCTCCGCCTCCCAGGTTCAAGGGATTCTCCTGCCTCAGCCTCCCGAGTAGCTGGGATTATAGGCATGCGCCAGCACACCCGACTAATTTTGTATTTTTAGTAGAGGTGGGGTATGTCCATGTTGGTCAGGCTGGTTTCAGACTCCCAACCTCAGGAGATCCACCCTCCTCTGCTCCCCAAAGTACATGGTATTTGTTTGTAGTGAAGCAAATATCTACAACAGCAAGTCGAGAGAATTAGGGGGTATATCTACAAGTCAGATGAGACTGATGATTCAGAGACACATCTCTAACCATGTGTTTTCCTCTTTAAGTATCCAGGAAGTGTGGTTTCACTTCTATTTATTTTGGGGTCTGTAAAATTACATACACATTTACTGATAGGAGTAGCCAAGTCTTGTTATTGTTGCTGTTTATTTTAATTTTCTTTTAAGAAGCTAAGGTGGAGAGAAGTGACTACCTATCCTACCATGTCAGTACCCAACATGCTGTTTCCCGAAGCTACATGTACTCAGCCTCACCAATCTCTCACTGTCCCAGACCTTCATGTTAGTGTCTGTAGAGACCCCATTAAGGTTGAGATGATAGGCATAAGATGGTAGACATAGGAATGCCTATTATCAGAAGTCTTTATAAGGTTTCATAAGATGATAGACATAGACATTTCATAGGATAGAAAAAGAGATCCACATGAGACTATGGCAGAGGGCAGACTTGAAATGAAAAATTTTTAAAGCTGTGCATCTGGACCATGTTTCTTAAATTCTGTGCATGTAGCAAGACACCTGTAGAATATTGTCCTAGTTCATTAGATCACATTATTCGGATTCAATCTTAACATGTTCTGTTTCAGTTCTAACAGACTGCTTGTAATTCTCACAATCTTCTTACTTTTTTGTCCACCCTTGCCTTGGCTCCTTGTACCTATACTAATGGAAATAATCTTTGTTCATGCTTCTTGGATCACCTTTCCTAACTTTATAATACCTAATGAAGACTTTCCTCAAGCATCATTTATTGTTACAAAACCTTTCTGAGCAACATCCCACCCAAATACAACTGGTCATTCTCTCCTCTTCCCCATCTTAGTAAATGCCAACTTTGTCCTTTCAGTTGCTCTAACCAAACTTTTTTTATTCATTCCTGATTTCTCTCCATTTTTCATATTCCACTTTCAATCACCAACTATTCTATTATCTCTACTGTCAGAATATGTCTCAGATATAATCACTCCTCACCTTCTCCAAATCTTTCACTCTGATCTAAGGCACAATATACACACATATGTTTATTTTAATAGCCTCCTAATTATCTTCTCTGTTCCCATTTTAGCCCCATTTCTATGAGTTACCTACATGACAAGCAGGGTGACCCTTTCAAAATTTAAGGCAGATCATGTCACATATTTTCAATATACTTGAATGGCTTCCATCACACTCAGAAAAAGACCCAGACTCCTAACCATTATGTCTGCAAGGCCCTATATAACCTAAGGCCCCACTACAACTCCAGTTTCCACTTCTGCTTCTCTCCAACCACATGAGGGTTTTGCTGTTTCCTGTACCTTTAAGTATTTTCTTGTCTAAGGGTCTTTGCGCTTACTCTTACCCTTGCCTGAAACCCTCTTCCCCTGATAACTACATAGTAGGTCTCTACTCAGATATCACCTAAAAAGTCTTTCTTGAGCATACCACCTAAAATAGCGATCACTACCTCAAAACTCCCTATCTACCTGAATCTGCTTTTTCCTATTCGTAATACTTCTCTCCATCTGACACAAGATGTTTATTTGTACATCATCTGTCTTTCCATATACAGCAGGAATTTTGTTTGTTACTATGTCTTTAACACTCAGTGTGATGTCTATGTGATCAATAAATTAATAACATCCAATATAGCAATTTATTGTAGATATTTCTTTATATATTTGTTTTATCTTAATTATACAAGAATTCTTAATTATTTTTATCTTCAATATCTGGTACATAGTAGGTACTCAATAAATGTTTTGATTCATGCATGACTACATAGCGCTTTTTATGAAGCACCACGCAATGCTGAAATACTTAATTGCTAATTTTACTAGCAGAATATATAACTTTATTCATACAGTATAAAATCACAAAAGCAAACATACATCACTAAAAAATGAGCTGTTGTAACTAACAACCAGCTGTTTCTAAGTGTTATGCTAAAGCGTATTTATTTCTTCATTTGTTTGGATCTGTGCACTCTAACCTATAGAAAAGCCATCATATATACCAAAAGCTTAAGCAAATGTATGGAAAATTTGGGGAAATTTTGTAACATTTTCTCGTCACAATTACTTATCTTCTTAGTGGTCAAAAACTCAAAATCTCACTCTATTGAAACACTCTAAGACATGAGAGTATATAATTAAACTTCACTGTTTTAGACCAATAAACCCAGTCTGTTTAAATTGCCAATTGGTTCATTTAAGGCAGCATAGTACAGTGGTTTAAGAGTCCAAACTCTGCATTCAGACTGTATATTTTTAAATTCTAGCTTGAAAAATTACTAGTTATGCAAACTCAGGCAAGTTCTCAACCTTTCTTTTCTTGTATGTAAATAGGGGTAATAATATCCCTAGCTCATGGTGTTAATGAAAGTATTTATGATGTAACCATAAAACCCATAGAATAGTGCCTTATAAATAGTAGGAGCTCAATCTTAGCTATTGTTACTGTTATTATAAAATATAGTTTTTATTACATTTAATTGTATATAATAACTCTTAACAAGGTTATTTCCTAATACGCTCTGCCAATCTTGACTCAAAGAATAAATAAGAATTATTTATGATTAAATCCATCTCTATAAAAATAATTCATGTGTTGAGGTTCATACCTTCTCTTAAGTTTAAAATGCTTTGCCTGTCGCATCCTCAGCTCAGCTCAAGATGAGTTATTGTACATGATTCATGAGAAAACTCCAAATTAAGTTTTATTTTGTACTCCCTGCTGAAGACTGAAGAGTGATTACCTTCGTAATACATGGCATCAAATGTGAGTTAGGTCTTGATTTATTTAACAATTCACCACTAAAAAAGAAGACTGGATACTTTCACCAAATTTTACTTCAACAAATGAAGACAAAGGACACTAATTAGGATTTGCTTCACAAATTGTTACTGTTTATTTTCTTTTAAGAAGCTAAGGTGGTACTTTGGCATCAGGAAAATTATACAAAAAGAAAAGGAGAGGCATTGAACTATATCTCTGAGACAAAGATGATGGATTCTAAGTATCTTACCTCACAAAAAGAAGGGACTGCCTAGTTAGTGGTGATAACAGGATCAGTCAGAATCCATGTCTTCCACAGTCTACTCAATGCACTTTCCATTCTGCCATGCTTTTAGAGCTGGGAAAGAGGTTGGTTGTGGGTTATCTGGAAATTTGGGAAAAGGTCATCTTGATTTTAAAAGGGCTCATAAATTCTGAATGAGACTAAGTGGACTAGAATAGTAATGGGATAGATAATGTAAAACATTATTTGTATAACATTGCCTCTGAAAATGAAAACCTTTGCTCAGAAGTATTTGTTCTCAGAGGAAGTGGCCAGATGAACTGGTGAATGAAGGTAGAAGAACCTTACTGTCAGCATCCCTACCAGGGATACTTTGTATGAAAACAGGTCAGGTCTTAGCACCACAAATATGAATGGAGAGTCATTGCTCTCTGGATGATCTGAGGAAAGCCATTTTGATTAAGTTTTTGATTAAGTGAGAGGAAAATACACTTCAGTGGCTGAAGATGATTTTTTTTTTTTGTAAAGGGCTTTGCCAATTTATGTCAGTGGAAAAGGAGTTAACAGTTTCCAGTCAAAGATGTAGGAAGTAATTAGAGTCATCAGTGCATGAAATAAACATCATAATTATATTAGAAATAATTGATAATTGATTCATAAATATCTGAATTACACATGGCTTTTTTTAGATGCTGCCTAAAAACTATTTATCAATGAGAATGTGAGACAAATATGCCTATAAGTATATCAAAGTATATGGTTCTTCAGAAAGATGATCCACCTTGAACAATTTAGGATTTTGTTAAGATAAATTAGCCCCAGATTCTCATTCTTAAATCCTTAGATCTTTGTTTAACAGAGGGGCAACAAGATGCTGTATGCTAGGAAAAAAAAAAAGAAGCAACATAATCTACAGGCATATGTTGCTTTTAAAGCAAACTCAACTTAAATTTGGATTTGTACAAAAATTAGATGATTTTATTTCACACATATTTATAACATTTTTATATATATCAAATCTCTGATGTGTTTGACATCAATTGATTGATAAATATCTGAATTACACATGGCTTTTTAGATACCACCTACAAAGTATTTCTCAAGGAGAAAGTGAGATATGTCTATGCTATATAAATAAAAAATTCAGCTGTAATAGTAAGTCAGAAAAGTTTACGTGGTTTTGATGAGACTGAAAGATGGAATTGTGCAAGAGATGAGCCATTAGCGCTTTTCCTAGTAGTAGGAAAGTTGGGATACATCTAAAATATTCTCAAAGTGTAGTCTATGTAATGTTTGCACTGGAAAATTTTAAAGTGCTTATTATAAATTCAGATTCACCCCATCCTACTGAGTCTTGGGGAGTAGGCCCCAATAACTGCATTGCACTTACTTCCTTAGTTTGCTCTTACGCACTTTCGTTCTTGTCAACTACTGGGATTAACTATTTGCTCAAAGGCTGGTTTCACCTTTGCAGAAATTCATGATCCTCATTTTTATTTTCATAAAAAAATACAAGTTCCTTAGTTCATAAACATTCAAGCACAATCCTTTAAGCCCAAATACCCTTTCATTAGGTAAACTTAAGAGGAAACTCTTTTGCAGCCTCAGCTGTGCTTCATTTTACATCCTTGGATAAGCCTTCCTATTCCCCATTTATTTCCCTCCTACATCCGAATTAGTAGTGTCCTTCTTCTGCATACTCCTTAGTCACTTCGTATTGCATTTGTTCACATAGCTTGCTCCTGTCTGCATCACTGATTATCAGCCCCATGAAGGGAGGAATGTTATTCATCTTTGATGCCGTCTCTCCTAGTACAGTAGTCAACACATAATACCTGCTCAATAAATTTTTGTTGCATGGCTTTAGCTTTGGTTCATAAAGGTTAATGTTTCATCTCTATGGTGAACTAAAAGTTGTACTTGGCTAAACTTGGGACATTTTTGCTGAAGAGTCTAGTTCCAACAGGAAGCCAGTGATTCCCAAGAAATGCATTTGAGGTAAATTAGTAAGTAGAATCCTTAGAGGCCTGTTTTGTTGGTGTTGTTGCTTTTATTTATCTTTGAAATGGTACCAGAGGCTTGTCTGATTAAAGTGAAATTGTTGGTTTGGTGTCTACTTCCAATTAGACTATAAGCTTCTTGAATTTATGAATTGTATCTCAATAATCTCCATATTTTCAATACCTATATCTAGTATAGGTGCTAAAAAGAAATAAAGTTTAAATTAAGCTGAATGTTAGTAAGCATCAGCCATAGCCCTTGAAGATAATAAATGCTTATCAGATGCTGTTTGGATTCTCCAATACCTAGATAAATAAATTTATGTTCCTCAAAGAGAAGCAAATCTCTGAATCTTTAAGTTGGAAAGGACTTCACAGGTTATCCATTCCATTGCCTAACAGTGCAAATATCTCTTCTGTAGCCCCTGTTAAAAATCCTCTAACCCATGTTAAAATTTCTCTAGCTCCAGGAAGCTCAGTAACACCAAATGCAAACAAGGACATTTAAACTGATCTAAATGTTCACAAGTTGGGTTTTTTCTTCTTTTTTCATGAACTAGAATCACTCAGGTCAATACTGTACTATGTTAGCTTCCTTAGCAGGTTGTAATTTTCAAGGATTCCCATATTGGTATACATCTAGGGATATCTGAAACTTGACAGTAATTTTAACAGGTTAATGCACTATGTTTAATTAACAGAGAACAGCTTTAAGATAGTGGTAGGTATATGAAGCAAGCAAAACCTTCTTCCCTGTAGCCAAATTTCTGTGCTCCTGGGTATTATTCAGCAAATATGATAGATGAACATGTGGGGATTTCTTTCCTGGTGCTTAGTGTTTTCCTGACACCAGTGCTGTGTTGACCTTTCTTCATGCCCTTCTCAAATGTTTCACACAACTATAGACTGGCAGCTAAGTATACCACCCTTCTCCCTCAAAACAAAAAGAAAGAACAAGCATTGTAAATTCTTACTCTTTCCCTTGAACTGAATTCAGGCAACATTTCTACCTGGAAGTCTTCCTTGAACTATGTTCCAGTCACATGTGTGTTTTCTTCCATTATCATAATTATTTCTTCCCTCTGGGTCTATCTCCTGCTCTGTGCCTTTACCTCTGGTCACAGGATGATTTTCTATCTTGGCTGGAGGCCTTTCCTTATTAATCATTTCACATGTGCCCTTCTCTATGGTGCTTCTTGCATTCTTAGCCATGTTCTAGTTTGTTTTGTTCTGTTTTATTGTTTTTGACAGTCCTCTATAATCTTACATTTGTTTTGTGCTGAACTCTACATTCCTGAGACTTTGATCCACTGTTTTTGTATCTGCCTTAAGTTTAATGTCTATTAGGCCTTCCCTCATGGAGTCTGAGACTTTACTTTTGTGCTGTGACATGTCAGAACGTTTCCTTCTGCATGGAATAGGTCTAGGATATCAAGTTATGCTAACTTTGGATCTGCAGATTTTAAAGTCCGTGAGAAAGCAGGGTGACTCTTTAAGCCCTCCCACTATGGGCAGTGCTATTTTGAGAAAAATTAAAAAGAGCTTTGGAGTTTGTGTGTGTGTGTGTGTGTGTGTTTTGTTTTGTTTTTGTTTTTTGTTATTTTACACCCAGCTAATTTTTGTGGTTTTTTGTTTTGTTTTGTTTTGTTTCAGTAGAAACAGGGTTTCGTCGTGTTGGCGAGGCTGGTCTTGAGCTCCTGACCTCAGGTGATCCACCCACCTTGGCCTCCCAAAGTGCTGAGATTACAAGCATGAGACACTGTGCCAGGCCAAGAGCTTTGGAGTTTTCTAAGGAATCCAGTGAATACCAAGTTCCATGCTTATGAAAGAGTATGTGTTAGAGAAATTCCAAGTTTAATACTGTCTCCAAGTGCTCTGCGAAAATAATTTAGTGATTTTCTGTCTAATTGATTTACCAATTCTTGAGAAAGAGGTCTTAAAGTCTCCAACTACAATTGTGGATTTGTCTTTTTCTTCTTTCCGTTCTATCAATTTTTGTTGCACATATTCTGCAGCTCTATTGTTTAGTGCCTAAACATTAAGAATTGCTAATGTCTCTTTTATCATTATATAATTTTGCTTTATGCCTTCAGCAATTTTTCTTGTTCTGATGTCTACATTATCTGATACTAAGTTAGTCCTTTTTTCCCATGATCAATGTCTTCATAATATATTTTCCCATGTTTTGCCTTCAATTTGCCTAGGTTATTATATTTGAAGTGAGTTTCTTGTACACATTATATAGATGGGTCATATTTTTAAATCCCCTTGACCAATCTTTATCTTTTAGTTGGTATATTTAGGACACTTACTTACACTTAATATAACTGATTAGAGTTTAACTATGGCAATTTTTGTTTCTTTTCTGTTTCCTCATTTCCGTTTTCTCTTTCCTGCCTTCCTGAAGGTTACTTGAACATGTTTTTTCAGAATTATATAATGTTTTTAAGTGTATCTCATTGCATAGAATTTCTAGTGGCTGCTCTAGATATTACATCATATTTACATAACTTATTACTGTATACCAATGTCTTCATTTTACCAATTTGAGTAAAGTATAAAACCTTACTTTCCTTTATGCCCTTTAATCCTTCCCAATTTGTGATACAATTGTTTTAAATATTTCCTCTATATGCTTTTAGCACCACATCAGAAAGTATTATAATTTTTGCATAAACAACCAAAAATAATTTATAAAGCTCAAGAGAAGATGGAAAGCCTATTATATTTACCCATATTTTTGTTTACTGTGCTATTTTCTTCTTTCCTAATGTTCTACATTTTCTTCTTTTATTTTTTCCTTCTATTTAGAGCATCTCCTTTAGCTATTTTTTTAGAGTAGGTCTGCTGGTGATAAATTCTTACTTTTCTTTCATCAAAGAATGTCTTGATTTTCATTCATTTCTTTAGGATGTGCTCACTGGGTAGTAAATTCTGAGTTGATGGTAGTTTTTTGTTGTTGTTTAGTTTGTCTTGGCACTTAAAAGATATTGTCCTGCTTTCCTCTAGTCTCCACAGTGTCTGATAAGAAATCTGCTGTCATTAGAATTGTTTCTTTCCTACAATTATCATGTCATTTTTTTCTGTTTTCTTTTAAGAATTTATTATTTGTATTTAATTTTCAGAATTTCAATCACAGCATATATCATTTCTTTGGGTTTATCCTTTTTAGAGTTTGCTCAGTTTCTTGAATCTGTGAGTTTGTGTATCTTGACAAATGTAGAAAATTTTAAGCCCTTATTTCTTCATCTACTTTTTCAGCTATGCCTTCTTTCTTCTCTCCTTCTGAGACTCCAAATGATAACTATTTTGTTATAGTCTCACATGTCCTTAAGGCTCTGTTCATTTTTTTTTTCTCAGTCTATTTTCTCTATTTTCTGATTTGGTAATTTCTATTGTTTTATCTTCTGGTTCACTGATTCTTTTCTGTTATTGAGCCATCCACTGAGCTTTTTATTTCAGATTATATTATTCAGATGAAATAAATCAACTTTCTAATCCAATCCCTGCAGTGTTTATATGACTTTTTTGGGGCCTCTTGTTACGTTGAAAACCCCTGTTCATAACAGATTAGAATTAGGCTTATTATTGCTTAATCCTAACTAGGTTCCTAGACTGCCAGTGCTTATGTGAACATTCTAGGATACTGCTAATTCTAGTTGACATTACCTTAACAAATTCTGGGGAGTCATCTTTCTGATAGTGGAACAAAGATCCTATTTAATTAACCACATTGCCTCTACCTTAAATAAGCCCACTTTTTCTAATTTGATCCTCTGTCAATCATCTTCACAAAGGTAAGGAAGATGAAGGCCAGAAAGGGAAAGGAGGAGAAAGAAAGGAAAAAACCCTTGTAAAACTTGGTAGTACTAAGTCTTCTCTCAATAAAAGCATCTACTTCCTTTAACCTTTACCTGGAACCTCTATTACTTGCACTTTTTGCTTTTTGATCTTCTTTTCATTAAACAAGACAATAACAAGAAGGGCAACAACAACAAAATCATGGGGGTATTACTTGATCTGAATTACAATATTAGCTCTTAAACTCAAAAACAAAATCTGCTGAAGTATTTATGGAAGTATGCTCTGTTTGTTATTTAGACCCTCTTTGTAATAATTTCACTTATTAAACTTCCAGTGGGGCCATGTTTTATTCTTTGATTCGGGAGATTGCCGGATCATCTTTTAGGATCACTAACTAAAGAAAATGGAATAGCTCCATATATATTTGTCTCCTTGAAAACATCAGAGTATTAAGGCAAATACTGCTGCTGCCTATAGCCCAAGTTGCCCCTGACTCACTGTAGTATCTCTGGGAAGGTACTTGCCCTCATTTTCCTTCAGCATCTCTACCTGCAAAACAAAAAAATATTAGAACTTCCCCTACTTCACTGGACTGTGGAAGAAAAGTAGAGCAAAGTGTTTCAATGTTCTGTGAAAGACAGATTTGTTCATATGTAACATTTGTCACTATTTGAGACCATATACTCCAAGGCAGAGATGTAGTCAGTCTAATATAGTCAGTCTAAAATTACTCTATAGTAATTTGACTTTTACAGCAAAATAAAAGAAATAATAATTACTTGAAGAAGTTAATTTTTCACTCTTTCTAGTTAGTTCTTTTTTTTTTTTTTTTTTTTTGCATTTTTAAAAATTTCACTCCAGACCTGTGATCTACAAAGCTCTAAGTGCAGTTAACTTTCACGGTGTCCTATTTTCATTCTTCATTCTTACTACCCTTTTGGTTTCACATTTAGTTTGTGTCTTATTCTTTGCAGATCATTAGCAATATATTCTCAGTTGAATATCTTCTTGGAAGGAACCAAAACTTCATTAGTAGCAGTAGCATTTGAATTTTAAGGTTTTAAATAAGGCAAACATACTGTCTCCTTGGTTTGAGAACTTTAAAGGTAAAATTTGGTAGAAATGTGATAAGAAAAGAAAAAAAATTCTCTACTGAGCACAAGAAGCAAAAACAGAACTCTTATTCTTTCTTAAATTTTCTCCAACAGTAAAACATGGGCCTGTTTTAATCAATATTAAATTATATCTTACATTCTGTTTAGCATCTGAATATGTCATCATTAATTTTTTCCACTTAGATTCCTAATACCTACATGGTAACTTTTTCTGATAAAAGTTTACATATATATATATATATATATATATATATATATATATATATATATATATATATATGTAAGGCTTGGGGTAAAGAGAAGGTGAAGGATTCAGAAATTTCTCATGACTTAAATGGAAAAAGAATGAATCAATTTAATGTTTGCTGAAGAGGCTAAGACCTGCCTATTTTAGACTTTGTTTTCTTAAATAATTTGGGCACAAAAAAAAAAAAGAAATTCTGTTCTTAACCCCAATTTCTCTTCTTTTCTCAAAAACAAACAAAACAAATTCCCTAAATACTGGACTAGAAGGGCAAGAGTCCCTGAAGCAAATTCAAACTGTTGGCTTTTCTGGGCCATAAATTCCAGAAGAATGGATTTTCCCAGGGGCTCTTGAGCTTGTGATGGGACTTTGTGCCTCCCCACCAACCAGCTTCCAAACAATGCCTGTGGTAAAAACCCAAATGCCTGTGAAAAACACTCTCCTGATGCCATATTTGTTTGTATGTAATTACCCCCAGCCCCTGAATTCTCAACAAATGAGAGTGTTTGACAGCATATTCCTAAGATATTTTCTTTAAGTAAAGGTTTTTATACTTAAGGAATCATATTCAGGTGTCGTGGAAATGTCTAGCTATTTAAACCCTCCATGGCCTATACAAATCTCAAATATTTTTCTGACTACCAAGGTTCTACTACATCCTTTTGGCCTGGCTTAAGTCTCATCTCTTCAATAAAATTATTATCCATTGTCTTGTGAAATTTATGTTGCATTTATAGACAGTGACACACAATTTGTCACATGATGATGGAATATTGCAGATTCTCTCTTTGTTCCCTGTGTGTGAGTTGCCCCATTCAGGTGTTAAATTCCTTGAGGCAGGATTAGACTAAGACCTCAAGTGACTCTAGGTACTAAAGGGATTTTTGCATCCCCTACAACCACCACGTCCAATTCAAAAATCAAAATGATGTCATTCAGTCACATAAGGATAAGAGAGGCTAGCAAATTTCAAAAATTTTCATACTCATTTTGAGAAATGTCATTTTTAACATTGTTTCCCATTTTTAGTGGGACAAGCAAATGCATACATGGCCCACTGGATAATCCTACTTACTTTGGAGATAAAAACACATGTTATTTTTCTTGTGCATTCCTAGGAACAATTAGAATCTACCCACATCTGTTTGATTAAGGAAGTCCTTTAGTAAACTGTATGAAATTGGATGACATGTTAGAAAATAACTTTCATCTAATTATGGGTTGTATAGGTGTGGATTCTGTATATCAGAATTTATTTTATTTTACTTTTTATTTTTACTTTTTACAGAGATGTGGCCCAGCCTGGAGTGCAGTGGTGTGATCCTAGCTCACTGCCACCTTGACTTCCTGGGCTCAAGTGATTCTTCTGCCTCAGCCTCCAAGTAGCTTGCCAAAACTTGGAAGCAACCATGATGTCCTTAGTAGGTAAATGAATAAACCCCGATACATCTAGATCGTAGGATATTATTCAGTGCTAAAACGAAATGAGCTATCAAGCCAGGAAAAGACATAGAGGAATCTTAAGTGCATATTACTAAGTGAAAGAAGCCAATCTGAAAAGGTATGCACCACCACACTTGGCTGATTTTTCAATGTTTTGTAGAAATGGGGTGTCCTTAGTTGCCCAGGCTGGTCTCAAGTGATCTGCCCCCCTCAACCTTCCAAAGTGCTAGAGTTACAGGCCTGATCCACTGCACCTGGCATATATCAGAATTTCTTAAAATGAGAAATACATTTTCTTTCTGTAGCCCAGCTGTCAGTGGCTCACTTGTCCTCCTTTTCAAACTGCCCCAACAAAATATCCACTCTTACCAACATTTCCATATTAGTGATCAATGTAAATTTTTTAAGGCAATGGAGGTATTTTTATATCATGCACCCACAGTAAACTTGACATCGTCTGTGTTCATTGACTTTTCTGTACAGTTGAGCACTGACCATCTTACTGCAGGAGTGAGAAGAGGTCTCTGACCCTTCCCTCTATCTACAGCCTTTCTACACATTCTGAATTTGGTCTGGAAATATCTTACCAAACCATTTCACCAACAATGCCATATTCCTGCTAACAAGGTATCTTGATCCAATTGTTAACAATAAAATTTTCTCAGATAATTGTACCTTGTTTAGGCCAAGAATCTGATTCTTAGCCTCAACATAAGCCCGTTAGAATGATCTAGGTGATGAACACAGATTCTTTCTCATCCTCATTTTGATAAAGTTCCTTCTTTTTCCAGTCCTGCTTACTGTATTTTTTCTTTTTAATAGACTTTTTAGAGCACTTTTAAGTTCACAGCAAAATTGAGCATAAAGTACAAAGATTTCCCATATATCCCCTGCCCCTACACATGCACAGCCTCCCCCATTATCAACATCCCCCATTAGAGTGTGAAGGGGGCCAGCCCCTCCACACCTGTGGGTGTTTCTCGTCAGGTGGGACAAGAGACTGAGAAAAGAAATAAGACACAGAGACAAAGTGTAGAGAAAGAACAGTGGGCCCAGGGGACTGGCGCTCAGCATAGGGAGGACCAGCGCGGGCACTGGTCTCTGAGTTCCCTCAGTATTTATTGATCACTATCTCTACCATTTAGGTGAGGGTGATGTGGCAGGACTATAGGGTAATGGTGGGGAGACAGTCAGCAGGAAAACGTGAGCAAAGATCTCTGTGTCATAAGTAAGTTTAAGGAAAAGTGCTGTGCCTCCATGGGCACGTAGGCCAGATTTATGTCTGACTTTACACAAACATTTTAGTGCAGTAAAGAGCAGTATTGCCACCAGCATGTCTCACCTCCAGCCATAAGGTGGTTTTCTCCTATCTCAGTAAATAGAATGCACGATGGGGTTTTACACCAAGACATTCCATTCCCAAGGACGAGCAGGAGACAGATGCCTTCCTCTTATCTCAACTGCAAAGAGGCCTTCCTCTTTCACTAATCCTCCTCAGCACAGACCCTTTACCGATGTCGGGCTGGGGGACGGTCAGGTCTTTCCCTTCCCATGAAGGCCATATCTCAGACTATCACATGGGGGAAACCTTGGACAATACCTGGCTTTCCTGGGCAGAGGTCTTTGTGGCCTTCCGCAGTGTATTGTGTCCCTGGGTACTAGAGATTAGAGAATGGCAATGACTTTTACCGAGCACACTGCCTTCAAACACATTTTTAACAAAGCACATCCTGCACAGCCCTAAATCCATTAAACCTTGAGTCAACACAGCACATGTCTCTGAGGGCACAGGGTTGGGGCTAGGGTTACAAATTAACAGCATCTCAAGGCAGAAGAATTTCTCTTAGTACAGAACAAAATGGAGTTTCTTATGTCTACTTCTTTCTACATAGACACAGTAACAGTCTGATCTCTCTTTCTTTTCCCCACGGAGTGATACCTTTGTTACATTTATAAACCTACATAGACACATCATTCTCCTTCAAAGTTCATAGTTTACATTAGGATTGACTCTTAGTGGTGTACATTCTATAGGTTTGGGCAAATGTGTAACAACACGTATTCACCATTATAGAATCATAGAGAATAGTTTCACTGTCCTAAAAAGCTGTGCTCTGATTTCCCTCCCTGACCCTACCCCTGGAACTACTAATCTTCCTATTTTCTTCATAGTTTTACTTTTTCTACGATTTCATATAGTTGGAATCATACAGTATGTATGTAGCCTTGCCTTTCCTTCCTTCCTTTCTTTCCTTCTTTCTTTCTTCTTCTTCTTTTTTTTTTTTTTTTTTTTTTTTTTTTTTGAGAAAGGGTTTCACCACATTGCCCAGGCTGATCTCGAACTCCTGGATTCAAAAGATCCTCCCACCTTTGCCTCCCAAAGTGCTAAGATTGCAGGCATGAGCCACTGTGACTGGCCTATGTAGCCTTTTCAGATTGGCTTCCTTAACTTAGTAATATGCATTTAAGCTTATTCCATGTCTTTTCCTGGCTTGATAGCTCATTTCTTTTTAGCACTGAATAATATTCCACGGTCTGGATGTACGATGGCTTATTCATTTATTCACCTACTGAAGGACATCATGGTTGTTTCCAAGTTTGGGCAAATATAAATAAAGCTGCTATAAACGTCCATGTGCAGGTTTTTGTGTGGACAGAGTTTTCAACTCATTTTACTAAATACCAAGGAGCACAATTGCTGGATCATTCAGTAAGAGTATGTTTAGTTTTATAAGAAACTGCTAGATTGTCTTCCAAAGTGGCTGTACCACTTTGCGTTTCTACTAGCAATGAATAAGAGTCCCTGTTGCTCTACAATTCTGTTTACCTTTCACATGGATTGATGGTCAATTGTGTCATAGCACTTACTACAACATGTGGCTGATTTGACACATAGCTCCCTTGTAATGGTCTCTTCTACTCATTTAGAAAACATGGAATACTGGTATGAGCTACAAGGCACAATGAATTTCCCTTGATAGGTCAAAAAGAGACCCAGCTTAGCAGGCACAGGGGCTCATGCCTGTAATTCCAGCTACTCAGGAGGCTGAGGTGGAAGGATTGCTTGAGCCCAGGAAGTGGAGGCTTCAGTGAGCCATGATCTTCATGTATTCCAGTCTGGGCAACAGAGCAGGACCCTGTCACCAAAAAAGATATAAAAACAAACCCAGCTGCGGCCCATTTCGGGTCCTCATTTGCTCTGTAACTTGCCAAGTTTTTCTTTTTAAAAAAATCTCTTATATTTCCTGTTTTTCTAAATAAGATTAAGAGATTCCAACATACTTTAAAGAATATTTATCTAATAATATTCTTAAAGAATAGAACACATATTCCGATTAGCATTGAATGTTTCTTAATGAATAATATTACAAGAAATGAAATAAGACTATTATTCATGGTTAACCAATAACAAGAGTGTGTTTTTCTTTCTTCACAACTTAAAGTTATAAAGTGGAAAGTGAGTATAAGTTTAGAAATTTTTAAATATTTTGGTAGCCATAAAATCTAGAAGTAAGAACAAAAGTTGTTCATAGAGTATTATAATGGGAATAAACAGCTATGTGAAAGGAAAAAAATATAAACTTTTTTTCATTTTAATGTAAAGGTGTGTACCTATCTAAAATTCTTAACACTTATTTAGTCCCCCAAATTATTTCTTTGTATTTCCTTGTAGGTCTCCTTGGGAAACTTGTTCCAATTCAACTATTAGACATATTGTTATTAACATTAACTTACTTTCTTACCCTGTAAATATAACTTTTTTTCAGTAGTTTTATCATCTGTGATGAGATTTGTTCAGTGGTTTGTTAGTGTGATGAAGAAGAGTGTGGTTTAGGAAGGTTGGTTCACAACTAAGCAAAGTGGCTTCAGAAAACTCACTTGGGTCTCTATTTCCCAGGTCTGGCCCTTAGCCTTGGAGATCCAGGTACTTGGTTTTGCCAGTGCTCAGTGATGAGCAGGCTCTGGGAATGTGGGAGCAGTCATGCGGCCCAGACTCACCAGAGATTTGCATATAAAGATTTGAATATAAAATAAACTCCGGTTTATTAACTTGTACTAAGGAAGAAAAGGCCAAGGAGAAAGAGCGGCAGTGGAGACGCACACTGAGGGCATCCCTCTCCTAGCTTGGGTGGGTTGCTGATATTCTCAAGTCCTCAGTCCTCATCTATACATGGGGATAATGATAGGACCCAACCTCACAAGATTGTGGGAGACTTAATGAGGTAATGTATAGAAAATGCATTACCACTCTGCTTGTCACTTTCTAAACACTCAAATATTAGGAGAAGAAAATATTTTTCGCTCCTTTGGTGGGTGCTTTCTCTCTCAGAATGAGATGTTTCCTGGATGTGTGTGGAGTCAGACTAAAATGGAATCAGGAGATTGTAATGAAGGAGTTCCTGGCTTGAGCCATCCTTTCACACTACAGAGACAAATTTTCCAGGGGCACGCTGTTTACTGGGAGCTCCTCACCTGAACCATGCTAAAGACACATTTATCAGATTTGTTTTGCTAAATATCGTTTTCATACACTTCGTGCTGATCATTGGCTTTTCAGCTGGCATGACCTTTCTTTAGCTCTGTTAACACCACTGTTAACAAACAGCTGGTACAGATGTGGCAATATCTTTGCCAGTGCCTGTGGCAGACATCAAGTGTCAACTGGGTTCTCTTCCTGCTGAGCCTGAACTCACCCTCCAAATTCTTCTCATCACTGACCTCCAGGCAGCCACTACCAATGGCTCATACTTTTTACTGGAAGTAAAATGTATTTGTGATCCGGGGAATAGGCCACAAAGAAGTCATCAGTCCCTGCTTATAGCTGAAAACATATTATTTCTCATCAGTGTGCTGTTTCTATTAATCAAGTTTTCACCATAATAAGGGTGATAACTTTCAAACCTTCCACAACCTCACAAAACATGAGCAGATAAAGATAAAAGTTATATTGGTGAACTCCTGAGTTCCACTCTCAGGTTTTGTGCATGTAAGGGAGCTTGTGCTTTTAACATTTCCATTTACTAGCTTTTCTGACCTTTTCATAAAATGTGCATTAAGAGTGATTAATTAAACAAGCCATAATATGGAATCCATATTATGGAATATTGCTTAGTGATAAAAGGAATGAAATACAGATGTATACAACAAACTGGATCTATCTCAAGGGCATTATGTTGTGTTGAAAAGGCGAATCTCAAAATGGTACATACTGTATGAGTCCATTTGTTCATATTCTTGCAATGACAAAATTAGAGAGATGGAAGAGAGATTAGTGGCTTCCAGTGGTTTGAGGAGGGGGAGGAGGAAGGTGGCCATGACTATTAAAGGGCAGCACAAGGAATCCTTTTAATAGAACTGTTCTGTAGCTTGACTATGGTAGTGAGCAAAAGAATCTACATGTGTTATAAAATCACATTTAAAATACAAACCTACACAAGTGCACAAGTGCACATAAAACAGGTGAAATCTGAATAGGTGGGTGTATTGTATTGATGCAGGATTTTTCTTCTCAGTCACTTTGCAAGGCAGCTGGCGTGCCCCAGCTAACCAATGTTATAGCTTGTACCCACATTCAGCAGTTCCTGAGCTCTTGTACCACGCCCAAGAAGAATGAGGATATGTTGGACATTGAAGTATAAAGAGGGCAGAAAAGAATTTTATTGAGTGATGGAACAGCTCTCAGCAGAGAGGGGATGCAGGGTGGGTGGGGTGGTTCCCCTACCAGAAGGCAGGAAAGTCCCCTGTGTGGCTGGGTCTGGGACCTTTTATGGGCTCAGAATGGGGAGTGTGTGCTGATTGGTTTGTGAGTATGCTGACAGGGTAAAGCAAAGACATCACTCAGATGTGGGCACAACAGTGTAGAAAAACCAATTAGGAAAGGGTCGGTATATGTAAAATAGGTGAAAGGTGGAAACAGATCAGAGGAAAGCACATCAAAGGGGAAGATAAGTTCTCAATCTGGTCCAAGGATTTAACTTTCAGGCTTTAAACTGTCTTCTGCTTGGTGGTGGGATTTCACTGGGAACCTGCCCCTATCAGCCTAGGCATTTGGCTGCCTTCTGCCACTCTAAGTATCAATGTCAATTTCCTGATTGTGATATTGTACAAGATGTTAACACTGGAATAGGAAATTGGGTGAAGGGTATGTGGGGTCTATTATTTCTTACAACTACAATTATCTCAAAATATTTTTTAAAAGATCTGCAATGAGCATTTCAAGAATTGCAATTGCATCTATTTCAATTGAGTATCAAATAAAGGCAATTATTCCTTCAAAATAGGAAAGACTGCTGCTCAAATATTTTCAAACTCAAGGTAGCTGTATTCTTAAAATTTTGTAATATTTTTACTTTGAAGACAGTCCCCAAAGATGTATTTACTCCCTCATCTGGCCTGACTTATCAATATTATAACAGAAAACTGGTTTAAAAAATTTATTTTAGTACATGTGCAGGTTTATTTAGTACATATGCAGGTTTGTTGTATAGGTAAACTCATATTACAGGGGTTCGTACAGATTATTTCATCAACCAGGTACTAAGCCTAGTACCCAATAGTTACTTTTTCTGCTTCTCTCTCTCCTCCCAACCTCCACCCTGAAGTAGGCCCCAATGTCTATTGTTCCCTTCTTTGTGTTCATGAGTTCTCTTCATTTAGCTTCCGCTTATAAGTGAGAACATGCAGTATTTGGTCTTCTATAACAGAAAACTGTTTATCCAACATTCTATTAGCCTGAGCACCTTATTTAAAACTTGACAGAATGTTTATGCTATTTGTTTTATTTTCTGTTTTAATATGAAACTGTAAAATAACTAAGCAAAAGTGAGATCTGGTGCTTTTGTCCCCTTAAAAATGGGAGGTAGGGGGAGTATTCTGCAGTACTATATATTTTCAGCCAGAGATGGCAAACATGCAGCAAGTATGTTTCCACTTAGCCCTGATTCTCCAGTCTATGACAGACATCAGATTGATCATTGCACAGAATTTTCTGAAGATCTTACTTCCTCAGAATCCTTCTCAACACACACTCAAGGTAGCCATTAACAGTAAGTTGCCATTGACACAAGATGGAACCCCCGAGTCAGCATTTAGGTACTAATTCTCCTTCTCAGAGTATGGGACTTTCTAGAGTACTCTATCCCCTGTCCATGCCAAGTAAAAAGGATTTTACGCATTAACGTTTTGTTTCCTTTCCCAGTTTCACCTCTTCTAAGCAAGATTCACATGCTTGCTGAATGTTTTTAGCTTGCATAAACAAAAAGTCGACAAATTGAGTAATTTTGCATTAAAATACAACATTACTGAAAAAGTAGTACCATATACAGCTGGTAAACTGTGAACAGATTTTAAAGTCCTATATAGTTCAAGCAGAAAGGGAACACAACTGGCCAGCATGGAGAAAAATGAGTTCTCCTGGGCAAGTATATATTTTTAAAAAGGCATTTGTCCCTTTTTCCAACAATTAAAGTAGCAACCTTAAGTGTTAAAGATTATCAGTATCTAGATGCTGACACTAGTTACTTGATTTGATAGTAAAGGGGTCTTTTAGTCCAAAAGCAAGAGAAATGGGTGATTTTAATTTATTTTCTTTACATGTACTCTATCCAGACTAGTATAAGGAAAGCAATAAAAACTAACACATCATAGAATGGTTTACCTGAAAGAGATAATTCATCTACTTCAAAGCCCCTGAGTACCTACTGTGTTAGAGCCACAGTTTCCCAACTGTGTGCCTAATTTAAATTTTAGCTTTGGAATGCTTTAAATTTCCCAGGAAAACGAAGTGAAATCTGTCAGATGCTGAATGAGCTTAAGGTACTTCACACTTTCAACCTCTGGCCACGTGTATTAGTTTGTTCTCATGTGCTATAAAGAAATACCTGAGACTGAGTAGTTTATAAAGAAAAGAGATTTAATTGGCCCACGGTTCTGCAGGCTGTACAGGAATCATGGCAGCATCTTCTGGGGAAGCCTCAGAAAACTTACAATCGTGGCTGAATGTGAAAGGGGAGCCAGCACTTGACACAGCCAAGCAGGAGGAAGAAAGGTGGCGCAGAGGTGCCACACACTTTTGAACAACCAGATCCCATAATAACTCAGTATCACCAGAACATCACCGAAGAGATGGTGCTAAACCATTCACGAGAACTCCGACCCCACGATCCAATCACCTCCCACCAGGCTCCCTCTCCAACACTGGGGATTACAACTGAACATCAGATATGGGCAGGGACACAAATCCAAACCATATTACCATGCCACATTCCTTTAGATGATGTCATATCCTTGCAAAGCCGAGTTTTAGAGGCTTACTGGGATGAAATGCAAGCACAGTCCAAAATGTAGAAAAAATGTACAGAAAAATGTAGAATGAGAAATGAAGAAGGCAGTGTTCTACCCAGGGCTCAGCAAGCAACATACCCCTCATTAGTAAATAATTATGGTTAGTTAAAAATACAATTCGGTTGTTATTTTTCTTTCAATTTATGTGTATTTTTTCAAACAACTACTAAGTTATTAAGGACATAAATGCTCAAGTTACTCGAACCTAACTACTTAATGAATGAAACTGTTAGGTATTTCTGTTTTATGAAAATATTACTTAAACATCAAATGAATTTGGGAACCTCTGTCCTAGGGCATAGGGGAGCATATTTCATCATGTTATTTCATTTACTCCTCATAAAATCCCATAAGATAGGTATAATCAGCCTAATTTTATACTTGAAGAAATTGAGATTTACAGAGTTTTAGTGACTTGCCCAAATCTACACCACTGGTAGGTGACTGGGGCTACAGGGGCTAAGTGACATGCCTAAAAATTCACAGCAAGTCAGAGGCAGAAATAAAACAAACAAAATCCTGGTGTCCTGATTCTCCTCCCAGGAGAATCCCTTTTACAAAGCTGTACTCTCTCTCCAAATCCTCCCACGCCTTCTCTCTTCTGAGTCTGAATGTACAGTATGAAAAGATAGACTTCCATGCTACACATCTTATTTAACTACGGGTGTATTTATGCTGCCTTAATAGCTGCCCCACTTGATTTTGAGTATACGAGGAAAATGTACAAAATACTATGACTGAGGATTTTTGTTCAGTCTGAATAAATGCTAAAACAATATTAAAACAACTTTAGGCTCCTGTAACCGAGGAGGCTGTGAGGTCTTACAGAGAATATTACCCTCTCCTCGGGTTTCCTGTGGCTAGATGGCTGATCCTGCATTTCAGGGAATTGGACACTTGGGATCTATTTTCAACCTGATGAACTCCAATTGAACACTAAAGAGAGTCTAGATTTTCCCTTCAGCCTTCACAGAAATGATCCCTGATACCATCTTTGTAACCCAGAGGGGCGGGCAGTATTAAAACCCAAGGTCCAATGAATGCTGATAGAACCTTTACAAGGTTTGACACATTGGTCTCCACTGTAATGGGTATTTAAAACACAGCTTTCTCGGGCTCAGTGAGTTTTTGCTTTGCCTTTGTTCAGTGGCATTTAACATGCAGCCTTATGAACAGCACGTTAAACAGTCAGCCTTTGTGCCTTTGGGCTCATTTCAATAGGTTTATAGAAATTTAATTTTTTAAAGAAAATTCATTACCGAAGTTGTGTGATTATGACTCACATTTAAACAAAAATTCTTATCCAAGGTCGAATCTTTTTTCAATTTGAATAGCTTTCGTTTGTTCTACCATTCTGCTAGAAACTAGGGATTCAAAGGGGAACTAGCACAGAGACCCCCCTCCTAGAAATGGAAGTCATGTCAATGAAAAGTCACACTCGTGGTAGTTGTCATAATAAGGCATTTACAAGCTCTGATGGTGGCAGCAAGGAAAGAATAACGAGTTCCACCTAAAGGATGCTACCAAGGCAACGTACATAGAGAAGGCGATGATTATGTTTTATCCCGAAGCACAAGTAGGAGTTTTGCTGGGTGAACATGTGAGAAAGGGAATTCAGAGCAGAGAGAAGAGTGTGCTCAGAAACGAGAGGCTGAAACAGTGCGCGATTAGAAAGGATGCAAGTGGTTGAATGTTACTGGACTATGAAGTGTCAGAGAGAGAGCAACCAGTAAAGCCAGTGGGTAGATTAGGTCATGATAATAAGTGGTCCCCTAAGCCATGCAAGCCTGTGGGTTTTACCAGAAAATGTGCTGATTTTAGGCAGGGGCATGACATGATTAGGTTTGCAAACTAGAAAACTCATTCCACCAATAGTGTGTAGAGTAGCTTGGAACAGGTAAGATACCAAAAACAGGAAGGATCTCTTGGGATGGTGTTTAGTAAACACTGTTTACATGGTGAAACCTTACTAATTTAGACTCGTTTTTGAAAATTTGTGGTGCTTTAGTGCTCAAACCTTTTCCTACTAGTCTAAACGACTTCTCCACATGAACACAGATTGTAGTGCTTCGCTTTCCAGTACACACATGCTGGTCCTACTCAAAAGAAGTAAAGGCCGGGCGCGGTGGCTCACGCCTGTAATCCCAGCACTTTGGCAGGCCGAGGCGGGCGGATCAAGAGGTTAGAAGATCGAGACCATACTGGAGAACACGGTGAAACCCCGTCTCTGCTAAAAATACAAAAAAAATTAGCTGGGCGTGGTGGCGGGCGCCTGTAGTCCCAGCTACTCGGGAGACTGAGTCAGGAGAATGGCGTGAACCTGGGAGGCGGAGCTTGCAGTGAGCCGAGATCGCGCCACTGCACTCCAGCCTGGGCGACACAGAGAGACTCCGTCCCAAACACAAACAAGCAAACAAACAAACAAAAACAAAAGAAGTAAAAAGATTCTGCTAAAAGCAACCTTTATAGTGCTTCAGAAAACTTACACAGTTTTCTCTGTCCATTATTTTTGTCAGAGTTGGGGAGGGGTTATTTGTTTTTGAGTATGTGCATGTGTGTGTGTGTGAGAGAGAGAGAGAGAGAGAAAAGAATAGAATAGAATCCTAACAATCTATAATGAGAAGAAAGCTAAATGATCTAGTCCAGTGTTTTCAAAAATTTATTTACTTAACCCCCACAGTAATGAAAACATGTTCCACTGGACCCAGAATACAGATACACATATAAAAATCAAAAGTGAAGTATTTTACAAAAAAAAGCAGAAACAAACTAAAATACCTATTCTTCCTGTATGTAAGGAGCCCTACTTTTTTTACCGCATTCAATTTCATTTTTAGAATGCTTGTCAAGACCCTGTAAATTGATTTCCTGACTGATTAATGAGTTGTTGCCTGCAGTTTGAAAAATACTAATTTAGTTCAACTTTCATTCTGATTCAGAAAGCTTTTCCTAATTACAGATTAGTAAAGCAATATCTCTAAATTAGTACATAGATCCCTTTCTCTGTAGACCTCACCTTTCTGATGCAATGTCCCAAACATATCTGCCTAATTCCTTTACATACAGACCAAGGAGCTGCTAACATCAGGTGTACATAGAGGAGACTTCATTAAGCTGAGAATCAGTGATCTGGAGAAAGCAGAACATTGGCCTCTCAGACCCCTGGGATTTTCTACTAGAAAAGCTTGAAAGTCCAAATAGATCCAAATTTGAAGTCCAAATAATAGATCTGAAAGATTCAAAGTTTGGGTGGGTGACAGAAAGAACCTTGTCATAGGATTTGAGAGACCTGAAACTCGACCCATGTGACCTGAGCTTCCCAAATACTGAGCCATGGAGCAGTTGCCTTAGAATCGCCTGGAGACCTTTTTAATGTATAAATTCCTGGGCCTCAATCCAAGAATTATGATGGAAATATGAACATTTTAAAAGCTCCCTGCATGATCCACATGTGACCATGATGGGTAATTTCTGATTTGGGCTTTCTGAACCCCGGGAACTTCTTCTAGAGAATGGTGGTAAGATCTGCCTCCCTGCCATGATTGTTATGGAGAACAAATGAAATACTGGATGTATGACGAGTTAATGGTTGCAGCACACCAACATGGCACATGTATACATATGTAACAAACCTGCACGTTGTGCACATGTACCCTAGAACTTAAAGTATAATAATAAATAAATAAATAAATAAATAAAAAGAAATACTGTATGTAAAAGCCCCAAAACAGTCAAAAGCCCTACAGGTGCAAGATACTAACGTAAAGATATATCTAATGCTCTCTCCTGGCTCACCTCGAAAATTACTAATAATAACTAGATGTCTAAAAAGAGAGATTCTTTTCTTGTAGTAAGTTTGCACATTTAGCTCATGGCAATACCAGAAATTTCCTAGAACTTAGGAAGAATATTTTACATAAATTTTTAGAAATGTTAGGAAATTAAGCCCTCAATTAAAACTTTGGCCTCTCTGAAAGAAAATAACATTCTGTGCTCTAGTTATTACCTGTGGGAAACAATGGGGTTTGTTTTTGTTCTTGTTTTCTCTGCCTTTCAAATATATATTAGAAGAAAGATATAAGAAAGTTCACCTTATACATCCTGCAAGTAGGTGAAGCCTAAATGAATCAGTCCTAAAATAGATGATAAATGTTAAGCTAATGCTTTTTGACAAGCATTTGTCTTGGAGAAAGAGAAAGAAATAGAATGTTCAGTTTTTGAGGACAAGGTATTAACAGTTTCTCAGGCTATTTATGGAAAAAAACTTATTTCAGTTCTTTCATGGTGCTTATCAAGTAGAGATTTTTATTTAATAAGCATTAGATGTGTACTAGGGTTATATAGAAATCACATCCTATGTAAGAATTATATATCAAATCCCATACTTTCTGAGTGACAGAATTTGGACAGTATCTATGTTAGTGATCCACAAAGTTAAATTTTCATTTTAAAAATGAGCAAACAATGCTTTCTCAATGGTTTCATATATTATAAAGAATTAAAGAATTTTTTAACTGAAACTAAAGGACTAGAATTAGAATATTCACTTGTATTGCTTCTGATACAGCATCAGAAATATAAATCTAGAACCGATCACACAGACCACACACTGTACTGGAAACACATTAAGAGCTATGAAACACATTGAGAGATGCTTGATTAAAAGCTTAATATAAATTCTCAGGGTAGAAAGCCTAATTTTTTTAAGCAAAATGATTAAAGCAAGGTCTAGAATGGAAGAATAAATTAGTTAGAAAAAGAGACCAATCTAAGTGTGGTTAAGATTATTATCTTTGATAGATCTATGTCTAAACAATTACTTTCCAACTTTCCCCCAATATCTTAATAACAAAAGTTGCTATGGAGTATTTTGTTTTCATTTTAAATAGCTAGATATAATCAACACCTAGCTGCTTTATCAACTTCAGATGAACTTTGGAATGTGTTAGTGGAGGGAATATACTAAGAATCGGAAAAGAGTCCAGAGGATATGGACTACAGTGTTTTGTCTTCTTTCCTTTTATTCCATAATTGATCAGAGAATAACAACACAGAAATATGTGTTGGGCAGCACATTATAGTTTATGAATCCCCGTTATATGTGTTAGCTTATTTCACTTTCATGGTAACCTGGTGAAATAGGTAGGATCTGTCTCTGGAAAAATATCTCTAAGATATGCTAAATATGATGAGATGTTTAAGAAGAAAAAGTGCTGGGGAGGGAGGGACATGTTTCTACCGATAAAAGAAGTTACTTAATTTCTCATCCCTTGGGTTTATTACCAGAGTTCTGAGTTTCGTCTCATAATGTAGCAAAATATTCCATGCAAGAAACCACTAGAATGCACCAGCAAAAGGAAGATGCCGAAATAATGAATGAAAAAGCATTTCCATCATGGTCGTCTCAGACAATGAGATTCCTCCACAGAGAAACAACATAGCATACTACCAAGTCAAATAACGTGAAAATACCAAAAGAGTCAAAATGGACAATTTATATGGTTTAAATTTTTTAAAAGTCGTTTTCTACATTAAGCTGTGTAAACTTCAATCTGAACCCTCACTCTACCATTGCTTTGTTATGTGACCTTGACCAAGTCCGTTTAACTTTCTCTCAACCCATTTTCTCATCCAATGGTAAATAGACAAAATAATGCTTATCTCATAGGATGGTTGGGATGATGAAGTATGTGATGTAATGAATATCCAATTCACAAACTATCACCACTTTGTAAAAATGTGAGTTACTGAATTGGATCAGCAGTGGGTTAACTGGTTGTTTGTACAGTCTGAGACATCTCAGTCTTCTCTGGTCAACCTGTAGCCCCTTACTTCTGACTGTGAATCATTTTGAGTTCTTTCCGCTCCCTCAAGCCAACATCCAATCATTCACTTAGTTTTTCCTACTTTATCTCCTAAATAATTCTTTAATCCACTATTTTTCTACTTCTCCATTTCTATAGCACTGTCCTCTTTTAGGGCTCCCATCATATATTTTGACTAAATAGTCACCATGTTCTCTAAACTGGTCTCCTTATGTCTAGTCTTTGCTCTTCACTTCATCTTCCCTGCTATGTACAAATCTAACCCCATAAATGTTTCACTAACATTACATTTGCTTCCCAGGGGCTTTCAACATGAAGTCCAAGCCACTTCCATGGAACAAAGGGACCCCCATGACCTGACCCTTTAGCCCCATCTCCTGTCACTGTCTTCTTCTTATTTAGTGTTATTTACAAATAGCAAATATTTTTAGTTATTCATACACAGCATCCATTTCATCCTTCTGTGTATGACTTTGGGAGACATCCTCTGAGTAGACATTAAAGGCTTTTCATCTGACCAGCCAATTGCTCTATGGCAGTAATTCCCAGATAAAGCCCCTTACCTTACCCCAGGTACCTCCCTTAAGGGGTAGAGAAATTTAAAAAATTATAAAGGGGGAGTTGTCAAGGCAGAAAAGAGAGATGTGACACCCCCAAGTCATCTTCCTAAAGAATTGTGATGTGGCTTTGTTTTTAACCTGGATACTTGAATTAAGGGGATTGATGCCTCAGTCATTATATCAAACTGTGTTTTAAAGGTGTATGAGAGGAGGCAGTCTGGATGTCACAAAACTACTGCGCTATCTAGTGTGTCTCAGAGCCCTTAACAAACACAGCCCAAACAATGACTCACAACCCCTTTATAGCCCAAAACAAGCTGGTATTTTTGTCATGACCGTTCATCAAGGTTTTTATTTTTGATCCAGAAGGACATGTAGGTGAAGGCTAATTTGGTGTCTGAGGGTGAATGGAAAGAGGATACAACGTTTTAGCATTATTGCTCAATACCACTGATTATGTCTGTGGTTCAATTAGCCGTGTCTTGAGAGAAAAGGCAGTGTGAGTCTGAACGCTCCCGGACTGAGGCCCAGTTTTCCAGGTAAAGTTTCGATTGCTTCGCGGTTCAGCCAAGACCACCTAACCTCGATGTTGGAATTCACCTGAGTATTCTAGAAGGTACAAGTCACCTTTTTTCTCCCTCCATGCACATCTTTTCATCTGGGGAAGATCTGAGGTGTCTTAGACATAGATAATTTCAAAATATAGGAAGCATGAACTTAAGTCCCAGATTTTTTAAAAATAGGCATTATGTAGTAGGAAAAAATACTAGGCCTGTAGTCAAGCTCAAATATGTTTAAATCTTAGTGCCATTTATTCACCACGGGGTCTTACATGAGTCAGTTAATCTCTCAGAACCTCTGGCTACCCACATGTAAAAAGCGCATGGATAATACCTATCCATCAGGATTGATTTAAGGATTAAACAAGACAAGGTATGTGAAAGGGTTTAGCATTGTATTAAATAATTAGCACACAGTAGGAACTATGTCTGTTTCTTCCTTTATCATCATTGGTAATGACCAAGCTCTTTATTTCTATTTCTGCTTCTGAAATAACTGGTTTGGGTTTTTTTCTCCTTCTATTCAGCTTTGAAAGCTGCAGGTCCAGCAAAAGCACGGTGGCTGTGTAATAGGAACAGATGGATGACTAGACCAGCCAGAGGAAAAATAAGAAGGTTCCATGAGGGAGACATGACAGAGGGCTTGGCTGATTGACTGTAATTTACAGCATCCATCATCATGAGTCCAGAAACAGATACTGTGTATTCTAAGCCTGACTCAGGCTCTGATTCCTTCCAAGGTGTTAAGCAGCTCATTTAGTATCTGACGAAGAGTCATCATAATGCTCAGCATAGCTGGGTTGTCTCTGCCAAGATAATTTATCATTCACTGTTTTTACACATTAATGCAAAAACTATATATATTGAGTTCCTACAGAGTGAGGGACTTAAGTTGGGGTTTGTGGATACATTTAGGCAGCCTGTAAACTCCCAGGAATGTTATACACGGATTAGTAGATATGTTCTTGCCTGTATTTTATGAGAGGATTTATAGCTTTTATTAGATTCTCACTGGAGTTTGTGACCAAAAAGAGATTAAGAGTCACTGCTATATGGTGTAAGACTTATCATACCATGTTCATGAATATGTTTTTCCTAGAATCTTAAAAGACATACCCTGATGAAAAAGGGATTGGAGCCATGCACTGTTTCTGTGAACTGTACTACGTTGTAAAAGGAATTTTACTACATTTGATTCTCAATAACAGAATTCGAGCAGGCATTCCAAGTTGTTTCTTAATTGCTGATGAAACATGCTTGAGTTTATAGTACTCTTCTCCTAACCATAAACTTTTCCTCACTCTCTCATATTTCAAAAACGAAACACTGTTTAGTTATCTCAAATGAAAAGTGCCTCGAGGACAAGGAACCAGGACTTGGAGTTTTATCACCCACAGTGTTCAGGTAGCCCAGTATCCTTGCATATGCATTATTTATAAATAAAACCTGCTAGACACTGGGGTGTGGTCTCAGGCAGACATGAACAGCAAGCTATGTCAGATGTGGCCCACCATTGGCCACTAGCTGAATGACAGAGGATGCACCATAGCGGTGGAGTGGGTTTGGCTGGAAATTGATGGCTGAAAGTATTTGAAGTGAAAAACCAGAAGTCATCTTTGTCACTCTGTCACTAAAATAAAAACTGACAATTCAGAGATAGAAACAGTACTGCTTTTCCCCTTGCCCTCTGGCTGGATATATTCTGTGACAGGGGATTCTCCGAAAGGTCTAGAGTAATGCCCCACCCCCCTACACCATCACCACCAGGGGACACCCTCCACAAAGATGCCTGACAACTGGCCTCTTCATATGCTTTAGAGGTGAAGCCTACTTAAAAAGTTAGCACTTGGTGGAAAGGGGATATTTGGTTCCCATTTGCCATCACTGACAGTTCTTTCTATTGCTTTTTATTTTCTCTCTTCATTTAAATTTCTTTCTCTATAACAACACTAGCAAGAAAACTGAGTAGATCAGACAGAACAGACCAGATAGAGCAGATGTTCCCAGGAGTGCTGGGAGAGGAGAATAGGGGAAGCATGCGGGGATCACCAAAGATCTTGTGAGCTGAGTTCAGCGTGTACATGGTCAAGGCATTGTGTACCCCAGATGCCCACTCCTCATCCACCCATCCAGACAGCGTGAAAATGGGGCAAGAATACTGGCCTTGGGTTTCCAAGAGTCCAAATGTGACCCAGGCTCATCACTATCTATCCATGCCATGTTGGCAAATTGCAGGACTTCTCAGAGAGGTCTTCCTCATCTGCAAAGTGGAGATGATTACACCCACTTCACAGTGTAGTACTGTGAGTTTCATGTGATAATGCATGAAAAGTACATGGCAGGCATTTAATAAATGCTAGCTTACAGCTAGCTCTTCTTATTTCACAGAATCTTATTTTCTGGGAGATTAAGATGTATCCTTTTAAAACCTCATATCTGATGATAATATTTCTAATCTGTAATATGTGTATATATATTCTTGCTAATACATTTCTTAAGCAAAAATAATTACACATAATTTGACCTATATTTTGATGATGAAAAGTTACATTTTTGTAACTATTTTAAACCATTTTAAAAGCGCTTTTTACATTGATCATTGTTTAGAATATCAATTAACACACTGTGCTATAATTCAGCAGAGCTACCAGACACTGTTGTTCTGCTTCGGGCTGCTGGCCTAAAGATAAAAGCTCTCTGGTTTTCTGAAGTATATGATGTTTCATTTCCCCTCTGGCAGCTCCCATTAATACTTATGTTTAACTTTGCCCCCTTGGCTCATTCTGATTTTCTGCTGTTTTTCTAGTCTGGAAAAGAGATTAACAAGATTTTCGCTGACCTTAAAACGGGAGGAGGCACTGAGTGAGAGTGTGAGGGTCTCTTCAGTGTTGTATGGACTCGCCATGCCTTATCTCACCTTTCCTTCTGCTTCTTCATTTACTTTGCTGTATTTTTAGGGTGTTTGCTGTATGTATGATACATGCTCTTTTACAAGTGTAGATTAGCAAGTAAGTATTTAGTCGAGGTTTTTTTTCTCAGTAATGGAGGAAGTCTTAATTTAAAAGCTCCTGGTTTGGTCACTTATATCCCACAGGGATGAAGGTCACTTATATCCCACAGGGATGAAGGTCACTTTTGACACTTGAGCCTTTGCTTGGCTTGGAGCCCTCTTCTCAGTATGGTGAATGTTCCATCTGCAGTCAGGACACTGAACTAGGATCACCAATGGGCACAAGATGAATGAGATAAAACGAATGCCTTCAATTGGCTTAAAATCTAAAAGAACAAAGACAATGTAAACTGTAATATGAGGCAAAATTTGAGAAGTTTTATAATGAAGTCTTAAGTGAAATTTGGAAGAAAGGGAAAAATATCCATTTTGAAATCCAACTTCCGGCAGGTATAGTGGGCCATTTCTGAGCCAGCTTGGGAAGGGGAAGGTTTCTGTGGCCATAGTTTGAAGACAAAGTCATCCAAAGAGAGAGTCATCCAAACAGAAGCAAATATGTAGAGCACAAATGTGCAGACTTGTTTAGGGAATAGAAAGAATTTTTGTTTGGTTTCAGAGTGGAGTGCTTAGAGTTACTGTGACAGATAAAACTGGAGAAATACATCAGACCAGGTCCTAATGCCACACCAAGTAAGGAGTTCTGTGTTCTGGTGACTTCATAACAGATTGAATTCTGCGAAATCACAGAGGTTTGCACTAGTTAAGCCAAATGGGAGAACTGAACAAGATGCATGGATGTATTTAGATGACTAGCAACTCAACAGAAGAGACTAGAGCTAGCCTCTGGTTTCAACTGAGTTTCAGAGGAGAAATATCTGGGCCAACCTGACTAGGATGCTAGCAAACTTTTGAATTCAGCATATAATTTATCTTGTAAATGTGACTATTTTAGAAAAAACAAAATACATTTGTGGAGAGCACCACACAATTAACTTCATTCAGATTTGGCATTTGGATCTTGGCTTTTCTGGAGATCCCATTTCTAATGATATCTTATTCTGGGCTTTTTTTTCATCATTATTAAAGTCACCCTTTACTTTCCTTCTGCCTTTGAAGTTACAATCTCGTCAGTTCAAAGTCTTTTTAGAGCACTTAACAGAAAATTTAATCAAAACGCTGAGCCAAATTTCAGCTAAAAAGTTATTAGCGTCACTGGAAATGTGAGTCAGATTTTCAGGTAATGCTATTCAGCCAAATAGGGTTCACCACACTGTTCTAGACATTTAGAAAATAATTAGATATATTTAGTGTAGAAGTAGATACAAAAACCATACTCAGAAAAACTAAAGCTACTCTATATGCTGGAGTACCACAGAAACTAGGTATGAGTTTGTGTTCTCTCTAGGTAAAGATATCAACATTTGTTTTTCTATGTGATTATATATAGTTACTTATTACACATATATACCTCTCATATTTAATGAAGCAAGTTGGTAAAGCATACCAAACTGAAGTAAAGGGATGAAAGTTTGAGACCAGGCTCCCCTAAAATTTTCTGTGTGGCTGTGGGCCTGTTGTTTGAATTTCCCTGGAGTTCAGTTTTGCTCATCTTACCGAACCAGACATTGATCTCTTACCTGATGTTATGTAATTTAGCTACCCATTAGTTGTGTCTTATCATTGCCCCTTTCTAATCCTTCAGTGGAAACTGATTAAAAGTCACCATACAAGAACAGGAACTTTTTGCTTAAATTAGGATTTTAGCAGGAAAGAGAAGGAAACAAAACACTTTAAAGTCTTCTTCAACCATCAGCTTTAGGGGAAAAAAGGAATTCAGTAAGTCATAGTATAGATTTTTTTTTTTTAATTCCATCGATTTTAAGGATTATCCTGGGGTCAAATTTCACATTCATATTCAATTTCTCAAAAATATTTATTGCATGAAAAAGAATTAAATAATGGCATTTGCAGTTACCTGGATGGAATTGGAGACCATTATTCTAAGTAAAGTAACTCAGGAATGGAAAATCAAACATTGTATGCTCTCACTCATAAGTGGGAGCTAAGCTACAAGGATGCAAAGTCGTAAGAATGATGCAATGGACTTTGGAAACTCGGTGGGAAAGGGTGGGAGGGGGGTGAGGGATAAAGGACTACAAACTGGGTACAGTGTATACTACTCAGGTGATGGATGCACCAAAATCTAAGAAATCAACACTAAAGAATTTATTCATGTAATCAAACACCACCTGTTCCCCAAAAACCTATGGGAATAAAAAATAAAAATTAAAAAACCAAAATATTTAATGTGATAAGTGATTGATTTTGCTAAGTTTCTGAATGCATGATTTATTTAGTCTTCATAGCTAACCTGTGAGATAAGATCCATTTTGTGGATATGAATACTGAGGCTGAGAGAAGTATAAGTTTATTCATAGTAACATAAGTAGCAAATGGCAGAACCAGTTAATTATGTGGGAGTAGAGCTCAGGGTTGCAGAGAAGGGATAACGGGGTTTAAAAACAACAGCTAGTTGACTTCCAAAGAGCCAAGCTTCTCTTCTGTGTAGTGCAGAGCTGTTGCTGGGGAGTGGCTTCACAGCCAGGGACTTTGTTTCCAGTGTCTCCCATGTAGGTGAGGCCACATGGTCCATAAGCCAAACTCTTGCTGGCCAACAGTATATAGCACAATTCTGTCTCTTCCTGGCTGAAGTGGTAAAGTATCTGAGGTGACTTCTTCACATTCTCTTCCTTTTCCGTGGCAATCTTGGAGGCCATATCTCAAAGGTGATAGCTTCATGCGATGGGAGAAGTCTATGTGAACAGATCGGATGGACACAAGAAAGAGACCTAACAGCACTCTCTGATGGTTTGGCTGTGAAAAGAAAGAATCAAAGATACTTCTTAGGTTTCTGGATGGAGCATCTCGGAGGATGTTGGCACCAGTTTACTTGGAGAGGGAACGCTGGCAAAAGAACTGGCTGGGGAGGAAGATGACAGATTCAGCTTTAGTTTATACATGCCTCATGTGAACACTAGATTGTCTTGATAGATTACTGAAAATTAAATGTTACAGAATCTTAGAGTCAGTATTATTCAACAGAAGTTGTCCTAGTCCACTTGTGTTGCTATAAGGAAATACCTGAGACTGGGTAGTTTAGAAAGAGAAGGTTTATTTGGCTTTCGGTTCTGCAGGCTGCACAAGAAGCACGGCACCAGCTTCCAGTGAGGACCTCAGGCTGCTTCCACTCCTGGCAGAAGATGAAATGAAGCCAGTGTGTGCAGAGGTCACATGGTGAGAGAAAGCAAGAGAGAGGAGGGGAGGAGGTGCCAGGTTCTTTTTAACAACCAGCTCTCATAGAAATTAACAGAGTGAAAACTCATCCACCGCTTTGAGAATGACACCAAATCATTCATGAGGGATCCTCACCCATGACCCAAACACTTTCCACTGGCACCACTTCCAACATCAGGGATCAAATGTCAACATGAGATGTGGAAGACAAACATCCAAACTATAACAGAAGGAATCGGAAAGCATACTGTTGGATGGTTTGTGAAGAGATGTGGATTTTCCTCCCCTTTCTGTATTAACAAAGGAAGAGAAAGACCTTACCATTTGAAATGGGTTGGACTCTTTACTTTTATATGATGTATACTATGACAGTTTACTATTTCTCAACTCTCAACTAAAATGGTAATAATAATTATATCAATAAATGATATTAATTTTTGCTTGGGTAGCACTTGATGTATATATCCAAACCCATTTTCTCATTTAATACAATAATCATGTGAAGAAGGCATAGAATGTGAATTCTTGAGAGATTAAATGATTTTTTTTGATATTACACAGTTAGTGGTAAAGCTAAAATCTGATGTCATGTCTGACTGGCAATGTAACAAAACTCTGTGAGGATTTGAGTTCAGGAATTACGGAGGTTTAAAAAGAAGTCTCTAAATTAGTTTAAATCCCAATTAAGATTGTCAACATTGGTATATTTACATATTGTAGCAACTGGAAAACTCTGAAGTGCTAAAAACTCAGACTTGGCTTATTACTGTCAAAACTAGAAAATTTTTAAGAGTTAAAAACTGTTCAGGTATTCAGCTGTTCTGGTAAATTAAATATTCTAGTTAGGGAGAGTTTGCATTTCATAACTCAGATATAGATCATAATTTAAATGCTAGCTTTTAAACAAGTATACAGCATAGTACTTTTAACACTAAAACAATACTCAATATAATTTTGTCTTTTGGTGTTGTAGAAAACACTCTATTTGTTTAGCTTATCATAGTAAGTATTATAGAAATTAATTACTATTTCCCTGAAGTTTTCTGGCACTAGGTAATAGACATTGCTGATAGGGAAAAAAATCAGAGGATGTCACTTTCTTGTCCTTCTACTTTGTCTACCTCTCTAGTACTTTCAACGACTGCCCATTCCACTTAGAACTTAAGTTTTTTTGTGTTTTGTTTTGTTTCTGAGTCAGAGTCTCACTCTGTCGTCCACGAGGGAGTGCAGTGGTGCAATCTCAACTCACTGCAGCCTCTGCTTCTTGGGCTCAAGGAATACTCCCACCTCAGCCTCCCAAGTAGTTGGGGTTACAGGCGCATACCACTATGCCCAGCTATTTTTTGTATTTTTAGTAGAAATGGGGTTTTGCCATGTTGGCCAGGCTGGTCTCCAACTCATGAGCTCAAGTGATGTGCCCACCTCAGTCTCCCAAAGTGCTGGGATTACAGGCGTGAGCCACCTCACCCAGCCTAAAATCTAAGGTCTTTAACCTGACTTTCTAAAACTTGCATGATTGGCTCCTGGCAACCTCATCTTCATGTCACTCTTCACCTCAAACACCACGCAATAATGCATATACGCACCTTTGATAAGTAGATGACTAAAGTGGGTAACAGTGACCTAATGGAAAGAGTGCTTCAGGCTTTTAGTAACTGGTCTCTGATTGCACATAATTAGAGGGTAATATTAGATGTTGTATCTCTAGTTAGAAAAGTCTCTGGCACATGATAGATGCTCAACAGGTTCCTTTTCTACTGACCACTGATTGAGAAGATGAAGATATCTTCTGATAGTGATGCCAAATGCTCCAGAGCTTGGATGACTCTAAGCATTGAAAGAAATGCTAGAGTCATATCCCTGCCCTATACTGGATAATTGGTGAAGAAAATACCAGTGATGAGAAAAATTATCATTCTAATCTTGCCAGTTGAATATGAGGACCTAGGATCTGAGAATCATTAGTAGAGCAACAAATATGTATTTAAATGTTTGAAATAGAAGATCTGTAAGTAAAGACAGAGAATAATGACATGACTGTTTACTCTAAAATTCTGAAGGGATGGCTTAATAAATCTGCAAGCCTGCCAAGGGTTAATTTTCCAAGAGAGTTGACTTGAGGAAAGACTAAGGGAGAGCAGGTGTTCACTGTAACTTGATGGATTTAAGTGATCCAACAGGATGAATTTCATGACAGTGAATTTATGTTACCTATTGTGATTTATAGCCAAAGGATGGATGGATGGAGGACAGATGAATAAATATATTGATGGTCATTATTATTATAAATCTTGCAAACAGGATCACTCTACATGCATCGTGGTAGCCTTTAAGGCCTCTCCAAAGAATTTAGAGCATATACTGCATATTAATTTTCCTTTAAAACTTTTTATTTCTATGTGTGTTTATCTGATGGCTGATTTTTTCAAAAATAATTTCATATTTACATACATAATTTTTAACTTTTTAAACCATTTATATCCCTTTTTAGAAGTAGACTTCATAGATCCTTATTCAATAAAGTTGGCTAATAGCCTGTGGTGTATAGAAAGGGCAGTACCATGTAATCTCCTACTTTATCTACCTCTCTGCCTCCACATGGTAGGTTAGAATTAAACAGAAGAATTCTAATAGGGGCTATGTTCCAGCTGTCTTTTTTTTTTTTTTTTTTTTTTTTTTTGAGATGGAGTTTAGCTCTTGTCACCCAGGCTGGAGTGCAGTGGCGTGATCTCAGCTCACCACAACCTCCGGCTCCCGGGTTCAAGTGATTCTCCTGCCTCAGCCTCCCAAGTAGCTGGGATTACAGGCATGTGCCACCACGCCCGGCTAATTTTGTATTTTTTTAGTAGAGACGGGGTTTCTCCATGTTGGTCAGGCTGGTCTCGAACTCCTGACCTCAGGTGATCCACCCACCTCGGTCTCCTAAAACACTGGGATTACAGGCAGGAGCCTCTGCCCCCGGCCTTTTTTGTTTTGTTTTGTTTTGTTTTTTTCCGAAACGGAATTTTGCTCTTGTTGCCCAGGCTGGAGTGCAATGCTATGAACTTGGCTCACTGCAACCTCTGTCTCCCAGTTTCAAGCTATTCTCCTGCCTCAGCATCCTGAGTAGCTGGGATTACAGGCATGCGCCCTACTCCAGGCTAATTTTCTATTTTTAGTGGAGATGGGATTTCACCGTTTTGGCCAAACTGTTCTCGAACTCCTGACCTCAGGTGACCCGCCTGCCTCAGCCTCCCAAAGTGGTGGAATTACAGGTGTGAGCCACTGCACATGTCCACCAGCTTCCTTTTTAAATTGATCTTTGAATAATTTAACTTGAACGATTAAATGATACATGTAGTAAGAATTTATAGATTTTACCAAAGGACTGGCCCCCTATTCCCTGAATGAAATATGAAAAGGAAAGGGCATATAGAAAAGCATTTCTGGTATTATCCAGTATATTTTCTTTTGAATTCATTTTCTTGTGGAAAATGGAGGGTTTTTTAAACCTCATTTGGTTTGATGAATTACAATTCAATTGAATTTTTCTGTTTATGCCTAAAAAGTCTATCTGAGAAGGACCATTAATTTAAATGCTTTCTACAAGTCATTGTCAGGCCAGGGAGGGACTGGAGATGGAAGGATGTGAAGAAAATAAATGACTGTAGTGTGAGAAAATGGAGGAGAGAAAAAGAAAGTAACCTTTTTACAGATCAAGGTTCTAAGGGAACAGGTCAAATTAATTTACCTAGTGTTTAAAGTATTCTCCTTCATGCAAAACTTGTGTGTCTCCCAAATAGGCTAGGCAGGAAACTCCAAATTCTGTGATATCTCTAACCCAAGTAGAAGGAGCACTGACCTACTTTCAGATCACAATGGAAAGACCAACTGATCAATTGAAGTTTGTAACAGACCTGCACAAAGAGAAGGCTTCATCAATGCTGTATTTTCCTGCTGCATGAAAGAGTTATACTTCTTGTTGTGAGTGTTTTAATCCCCACTTATATTTTATGATAGATGTTAGTCAATGACATCTCTTGAGACTGAGTTTGGTTTTGTTATTATTGCTCTAACAAAGAAAAGCTTGAGGTTTTGAAATTTTGATTATTTTCAAATTTTGATGATTTTCAAATTTTGATGTCATATTTTATTTCTAAAGGAATAGAGTTATGAGGCTCCTGTAAGTGTCATTTAGTGTCTTTTATGTGATCTGTTAAAAGAGCTGATTTCTGGTTGTTTTATAACTATCAAAATTCCAAGAAAAGCAAGAAAAATCTGCATAAAGTGATGTACAATATATTTTAGGTGTCGTACTGGGTTTTTATACTTATTTAAACCTTACAAAAACCTTTTATGATAGATAGCTGAGAAAACTGAGACTCAGAGAAGTCAATAAACTTGTCCTAGGAAGTAGTCCTAGGAACTTGTCTTAGGAAGAAGTTTCCAATCTCAAAGCTCATACTTTACAACTGTGTCTGCTCCCCATGGATCTTTGTACAGTTCTTATAGCTTAACAGAAGTTGACCACCTGCTTAAAATTCTTCCCAATTATATTCAACTGCATCATTACATTAATATTGGCACAGCAAACACCAAGTCCTTTTGTAGCAAACCTATTTCATGACCATCTTCTTTAACATTTTCTTCTATGTCACCAAAAGAATAAATATTTCTCTTTTAAAGTCATTTTTAGCCCCTTGAAGTTCATAATTACCCTCTAGAAATCTCAATTTTAGTGTCTCAGCATGAATTTTTTTGTATCAAATCTGAATTTCAAGTTGTCATTTATATCAGACCCTTTTGCAATCTATTGCTAATGGAGTGTGACCTTAAGATTTCTCCCAAAAGGTTCAGTGCTCAGCTCAGAATGATGAGGTATTATCTTGTAAAGAGGTTTTGTGCATACTTAGTACAGAGATCACCTGGATTTCCTTTAAGTCAAGTAGAAATGTAGGTGAAGCATTCAGACCAAAACCACATGCCGACCGACTTTGAACAGTTCATTTTGGTTAGAATTGCAAATATGTAGAACGGCTTGTAAACATTTACTGAATGACTGCCTTGCACCAGGTACTGCTAGACACTGAACTCTACATTTTCTACTTCCTGGCACTTGCCTTTATGAAGCATCTCTTATACCCTAGGCAGTAGTCTATCCACGGGAAATCATAAATATCATTAAAAAAATCACTGGACCAACTGGCCTCCATCTTAACTGGTCTTATGTCTTTCTGTAAGAACTTCTGATGACAAAGAATCTGAATTGGATTACAGTGACTATATTTAAAGCCTAGAGGAAAAGCTGATACACAAAGCACCTTAATCTTTTCTGACAGAAATACAGTGAGCATCATAATGAAAAGATATAGCCAGTCTAGAGTTGCTGTCAATATGCGGCATTGTGCCCAGGGCAATTAAATTTGCCTGTTTTTTATTACTGAGACCAAATATTTGGCCTGGGTTCCTGCAGAAAATAAGTAATTCCATTACATGTGATTCACCTTTGAGTAACCCTCCAAGTTAATGAAGACTGAAGCTGAAAATTTATATTTATTACAGAAATAATCCATTTAGCAAATATTTATGGGGTCCCTTTATGTTCACTGGGCAGTATATAAAGATTTAAACATGCAAAATACAGCCTTTGTGTATAAGAAATGTGCAGCCTAACTTGCCTAAAAATATCTCTCCATTTTTTCAAAAAAATCGCATTCTTGTTTTTTGTTTTTAATAAGAGGATAAAATAAATTATGATGACTAACAAAAGATATTCTGAAGTCACGAGGAGCCTGGACTCTGGAGTCAGGCAGAGGGTGTTTTAAAATGTGATCTGCTATTTATCACCTGTGTGACCTGGCATCAGGTGCTTCTCATGCGCCATGATATAGAATCAATATAATAGCTCCCATCTTATTAAATTGTGTTGAACTAAGATAAGAAAATTCCTGATAAATTTCCTGAAACATCACAACTACTCAGTACATTATGTCTATTAATTTTTTTATGATACATGTTTTGAGCTAAATTGAGTTTTTAGTGTATCATTGTGCACATTTCCCACCTAAAATGTAATGTGGCCTTAGCAAATCCCTCACTCTGAGTCCCTGCTCTCTGGCCGAAGGCCTGTGTACTCAGATTGGTCCATCTGGTATAGTTTGGGGCTCCTTCTCCTCCTTCCCTAATGCATCTATATACACAAATAAATATCAAAAAACTGGCCACCAATGGAATGTAGATTGCAAACATCAGCAAAAGTCATTAGTTTAAAAAAAATGATTATATAAACACTAAGCAGCTTTTTAAGAAATTGTTTAACAAACATTGATGACATGTCTTCTGTGCACTAGGTACTGCAATAATCATCATGACCATTCTGAAAGAAGTTGCTTGACTCTGGAGCCAAACAGACCTAGCTCAACATCTTGGTCTTGTTACTCATTTGTTTAGTGACTTTGAAAGAGAAACTTACTCACTTTGAGTCTGTTTCTTAATCCAAAGACAGGGAGTTAGTAATACCTTCTGAGGTTGTTGAAAGAATTGGTCTGCATTAAAGTGCTTGACACAGTGCCTGGCACATGCAAGGTTCTCAGTAAACAAGAGCTGCCTTTCCCTCACCCCTAGTGATTACAGAGAGAGAATTAAGATTGTCCCTCCAAATCGCATATCTTGTGAGAACACGAATCTTATATGGAAAGTAGCACGGTACCTCTTAGACTCTCTATCAATGTTGCTGCAAATGATAGCTGGAAGGCAGTCAAATTGGGTTTTAAACCCAGATCTTTGGATTCTGAGTATGGTCACATATTTTGTTCCCTTCCACCCTGTCACCCTACTTCAGTTTTTGGAAGCACGCATTTGCATGCTTCTGGGGGAGATACGTGAGGAACAGATTGCATTCCACTATTAACTGGGTTCTACATATTGATCCTAAAGAGCGGTCATTGCCAACTTACCTCCTCTTCTTAAAGCTCCTCTTCTTCTCCAGAGCTCTAGGTCACTCCTAGAGCTGGCTTTGTTCCTAGTCCTTGTCTTGTCCAAGCTCTGTTTAAAAGCACAGTGAGGGATGAGAGGCAGGAGGAGCAAATGCACCTCAGGAACATGATCTCCAAAAGTGGTGCCTTTTCAACAATTTTAAAGGCAGTACATTTATATAGAGGTTCTAACACCACAATAAAGAGCTATTAGAGAAAGCAATGTGTAGCAAGACTATGAGGTGAGTAAGGAAGGTGGGTAAAAAAGAAGTGCTTTCAAAGACGGAACGCCCTCTCCCGCAGGCTCCGCCTGCCCCAGTGTTAGAACCTGGCTTTGTCTTTGGCTCTTCTCTGGTTTGTACCTGCCCCACCTCTCTTCCCACCCCAGTCCCTTTAAGTTAGCTTGGGTGATAAGCTAAGATGCTGATAGGAAGGTGATCATTCTACATGTCTGCTAAGATGCTGATAGGAAGGTGACCATTCTACATTTGGCCTCTCCATGTTGTTCTGTTACCAGCTAGCAATGGAATGGCAGGAATACAGGACAAGGAGAGAAAGGAGGGGTTATTGGCAGGACTCTCCACTTACACTTCTAGGAGACAGCATCATGGGTTAAGGCCAGCAGCGTCTTGTGTCTGGTCCTCAGTTTCTGCCTACAGAATGCAAACACCTCAGTGTCTTCTGTTTGGGACTCAGCTCCAGGAGTGTGACCTCCACTTGGCGATCTACAGAAACAGTCTTCATTTGTATGGAGAAAAATATTTCAGGTGTGTTTTAAAAATAAAATAAAATAGAAATAAAACTAAACAAGCAAAAACTCTGTAGGTTCTTTGGAGTATGAGACTTTGATGTTTTACCTAAAATTAGTATAGAGTCCAAGTTTCCTTTCTAAAGGTTTCCTCTAAACAATTCTCCTTTCAGTGTAACATTTAAAAGTGGCTCAAATTCAAAATTTGATGTTTACTTAATGGATCCCTACAATTCCTATCAGCTGTACTCAGGAGAAAAGAAAATGGATAAAGATAGTTTATTTTTTCTGCTGTACTGTTTCTTCTTCACCTGCAGGTCTGTATACTCTTAAAGCCAGGAAATTCTAAGGTACTTTGTGGGAGTTTTTTTAGTTAGTTTAGGGAAGCTTCAGAGAAAAACACCAGTAAACACACTAATTTTTGTTTCAAGTTAAAAAGGTTATTTTTAAAAAGTTTTTTAAAAAAATGTCTTTCAAACTATTCTTGACCTGCAATCTATCATAATGTACTAGCCGTTCTGACACTGTTATAAAGATACTACCCAAGACTGGGTAATTTATAAAGAAAGGAGGTTTAATTGACTCACAGTTCCACATGGCTGGGGAGGCCTCAGGAAACTCACAATCATGGTAGAAGGTGAAGGGGAAGCAAGGCACGTCTTACATGGCAGCAGAGAAGAGAGACAGAGAGACAGAGAGAGAGAGTGGGAGGAGGAGATGTGCCACACTTAAAGCATAAACTCTTGTGAGAACTCTCTCACCAGCATGGGGGAAATTGCTCCCATGATCCAATCACCTCCCATCAGGTCCCTCCCTTGACATGTGGGGATTACAATTCCAGATGTGATTTGAGTGGGGACATAAAGCCAAACCATGTCACATAAGAAATGTATTTTATATCACCATCCAATTTGGCCAAGAGTTTCATGAAACAGTATTTATCCTTTCTATAGGCAATGCACGTTTTTCTGTTTCATTTTAAAATTGAGGTTTTGCCCTAACAAACCGCCTTCACAGGCTTCCAATGGGGCCTTATTTGCAGTTTGAAAAGGGGATTGAGAAATACTGCCTCTCTTTTAACACAATTGAGCCAATTATTTTAAAGAATGTTCTTTTCATGCAACATGGGGAGGTGAAAATAAACAAGATGCCCGCATGGATGGAGCTGCTGACTTCATGGAGCTCACCATCTAGTGGGATTAATATAACATTGTGATTTTAGGAGAACAGATCAAAGGAGCAAGCATCATGACAAAAATGCATTTGCTTATGAAAAGCTTTTTGCAAACTTCTGATACATGAGTGAGAAAAGCTGGATGTCTGCTGTAAATTCTCATGGAAATATTACTTTCTTGATTCTGAAGGTCACTATGAACAGGAATTTGTGACCGTATTGATGTCTTTACTAAATATCTGACAACTTTGGCAAAACAAGACAAAAACCAAAAGCAGTAACATGTGCCACAAACTTTTAAGCCAATCTGCCTTGTTTCTTTCCTTTCTTCCCCACTTGTTCCCATCCTTGTCCTCCCTTGTCACAGAATAATCTGGCTTGAACTATTCCATTTCTTTTTTATCATGGTAAAATACACACAAAATAAAATTTTCCATTTTGGCCATTTTAGAGTGTAAAACTCAGTGGCATTTAGTACATTCTCAATGTCATGCAACATAACCACCATCAAGTTCCAGAACTTTATATCACCCCAAAAGGAAATCTGTATTCGTTAAGCAGCCATTCCCCTTTCCCACTCCACTCGGCCTCTGTCAACCTCCAATCTGCTTTCTGTATTAATGAATTTGCCTACTCTGGAAATTTCATATAAATGAAATCACGTAATACGTGGCTCTTTGCGTTTGGCTCCCTTCATTTAGCATAGTATTTTCAAGGTTCATTCACGTTGCAGCCTGTATAAGTACTTTTTTCCTTTTTATGGCTGAATAGTATTCCATTGCATGGCTAGGCCACATTTTGCTTATCCATTTATCTGTTGATGGAGAGCCATTTCATTGTAAAAGGAATTTTACTCACAAAATAATTAGAAACTAAATGATTGGGCATATCTTTGCAGCTTTTATTACATATGTATTAAAAGTAGAGTCTGAAGGTTTTTGAAGAAATCTGATGTCTCTGTAGGAGCCTGAGTATGAGAAGTACTCTGTATTCAGAAGCTCATGAGATTGTGCTGGGCCTCACCTATAAATTCAGGATTTATCTGCATACATATGATGAATGAAACCACGTGAGTGGATGAAATCACCCTCAGAAAAGGATATAGAATTGCCTAGGACAAAGCCCTGAAGAACCCCAACATGCTGGGGAGTACTGGAGTAAGAGTAGCCTCCAGTTTCCTTGCTGGGGATGAAGATAATAAAACCTAACTTAGGCAAACTCTCAGGCTCACTACTTTAGGGAAAAATACCACCTACTTTTTCACAAAGTTTGTAAGAGATTTAAAGGAGGCAACATACGCATCCAGGGCCTGGGCAATAGGTAGGACCTCAGCACTGGTAGCTGGTAGTATTCCAATGACAAAATTTCTTTCTACTCTGTATTTTTGACACTATCACTATCATCGATTTCCACATCTGTTACTTTATTTATCTTATCTGGTAAGACATTGATGATATTTGTCTGGTAACATTATAACCGGGCTGCCTAGTTTGAAATAAGTTTTCAACCTTTTAAAAATCCATCTATATTTAATTTTGTGTGTGTGTGTGTGGTTGTTTCCCACAACACCAAAAGAAGCTAAAGGAATCTGAATTTGGTGGAGAAGTTAGAGGCACAGGCCAGACACACAGTGTGGCAGTTTTGGATCCACATAAGAAAGTGTTCTCAATTCCATAGCTTGGGAGAGAACCATTCTAACCCCAGATTATCAAGACAGTAAAATTATTTCCCTTTAGATGTTTTTGTTTTGATGTTGGCAAGGGAAGAGTCATCACATTTCTTAAGGGACGCTTAGTTTTTGCCCTCCCATTTTTGGTAAAAAATAGTTGACAAAAAAATTTGTGCTCCACCCTAGATGCAATTATATTGTAATCATAACTACCTGAAGTCAAAAATCATTGGATATACTGTTTTTAAAACTTATCGGATTATTGAACATAGTCTCTTAAATTTGTTATTCCTATAAGATCCTTGACTATTGCTGCTCTTTGTTGAAGAGTTTCAATATTTTTTGATGAATTCTCAAAAGACATGAACACACTTCCCTTCACTCAATTTTAACACAGTTGGTGTGATTGTTTTCTCCTTGGATCTTCTGAAAGATTCATTAAGATATGAATAACTTACTTTCATAACTTCATTTGCTTTAGTCTTTCAGTTTTCTTCATATTTTTTGTAAACTTCTTAAACCTTTCCACTTTTGAAGAAGTAAAAAGTTTTCAACCTTTTTTTTTTGGAGATGAAGTCTCACTCTGTCACCCAGGCTGGAGTGCAATGGCCTGATCTTGACTCACTACAACCTCTGCCTCCCAGATTCAAGCAATTCTCCCATCTCAGCCTCCCAAGTAGCTGGGACTACAGGTGTGCACCACCACTCAGGCTAATTCTTTTGTATTTTTAGTAGAGACGGGGTTTCACCATGTTGGCCAGGCTGGTCTCAAACTCCTGACCTCAAGTGATCCACCCGCCTCAGCCTCCCACAGGGCTAGGATTACAGGCATAGGCTACTGCACCTGGCCCAAACTTTTTTTCTTATTCAACAATTTGATTAGGGCATTTTTTTTCTAGAATTTCACATATTGTGGTGTATGCCTATTGACATTCTATGTATAAGTGTATTTCATGTGTTAAAAACATCATTTCCAGTGAAAGTAAAGCTACAGATATAGGCATGGCATTTTGTGAAGGTGTGCAGATTCTTTCGTCTCTTATCGTTGGCTGATTTGTTATAGGCTGAGAGGTTGAAACATAAAGGTAATGTAACTTGTATTAAGCTATGCAATTAGAACTGATGCTGGGAATGGACTCTCTGCCTCCTGGATCCTGATTCAGTGCATTTTTTTCACTGGAAAGTGGACAACACATGATGTTCATGACCTAGTTCATGTTGGCTATTGTCCAAACTTGGTGGTCAAAACCAGCACAGGGTCTGTGGAAAACTACTATTTCCTGTTCTGTTACCAATTTAATACAAAGAGTACTGGAATGTGTGTGTATTTTCTGATATATTTGGTAAGGCATGCTATTTTTTATCTCATAGGTCAAGTTACAGGAAGTAAAGCACTTGAAACCCTGAGATGATAATAGCATTGGTTTTACAGTCCTGTAAAAACCAGTGGTGATTGCTGAATATGGCATTCATTGTGAGCTCGAAGCTAAAACAGAAGCAAAGAGAAGCCAATTAGGAGACTTGAAAACCAAGGAAAATAGTAGGGATAGACTGATGATTATGTAACTATGATACTTTGTCCTTATAAGGGAATAAGACAATTAGAGGTGAGAAAGAAGTTTTTAATAAACAAAATGAAAAATAAAAGGGGAGAAGGTGTTTCTTAATATTATGGGTGGGTAGTTTTAAATGTCAATACATTTTCCTATAAACTCCTCATGTGGAGAGTAACGGAAAATAGTTTTATATGGGAGGACTTTTTTAAAAATTGACATTTTAAAGACCTAAGTGTCTTAAATGGATGACTATTAAAATACAAAATTAGACAGAACAGAGACATTTTGAAGATTGTATTTGAGTAGTATCCTAAGAGGCAGATAATGAATGACTCAGATAGTCTGAGTGGTTTGGGCTGACTCACATGTTTTGGAAAAATGTATCATCAACTCACTGAATCTGTCATTGTTTTTCCCTTTGTTCCACCTGGTAGTACCAAACAAATTTGAAATATCAGTGACTTTCTCAGCTCCAATTTCTCAAGAAGACTTTCCAAACCACCAATAATAAGTCTAAGGTTTGAATATATAAACATTTAGTATATTTGAATAATACTCACTAACAGAAGCACAAGGCATGTCTGTAACTATGGAACATGTGAGGGATGGGAAACACAAACAGCCTTGACAAGAGAAGTACAGAAGAACCAAGACTGGGCTTGGCTTGTCAGGATGGAAGAAAAGGGCTTTCTTAGCCAGTGCTGCTTGAATGGTGCTTCCTGGAAGATATTTGAAATCACAAATATTATCTGGACTTATAAATGAGGGAGCCTTGGCCTTTGTTCAAGAAAGGATCACAGCCTACTAGGGAAACTGACACAGGGACTAATAGGTGATACCATTTGATATATCATAATACATATAAGAGCAACATTTTGTGGGGAGCATAGAGTAGTCAGTGTCTTACGCCTCTAGGATTAAGAAGCCCTGCAGAAGGAGAGACATTTGGTCTGGGCCTTAAAGGATGAATTGAAATTCTAAACGTCCACAAAATAGAAAAAGCATTTCAACTGTAAGTAAGGACCGAACAAGAAAGAAAGAGACACAGGAGTGCAAATTTTGGGGTGTGTTCAGAGAATGGTTAATAATTCAATGCAGCCACAGACTGGAGGAAGCAGTAAAAGATAAGATGGGAATACGAGACACAAAGATGTGTCAGATCTGTGCAGTTCTCTTGGCATGGGCCACATGATCCATGTCTTGGCATTATCCCAGTCTAAAGAATATGTCTAACCTGAAAATGGCTATTCTTCTAAATCTGTGATTTGGCTTCCTGGCAGAACCCCAATATGGGTGATGAACAACAGTAGTCTAAGAAAATCTTGCAATCTTTTCTATACCCATGTATCCATATATCCTTATGTTGCTTATAGTGCTAAGAACTTATGGTATGAAGTCCTTGATAAGTAACTATTGAAAAAATGTAATAATGAATCATATGGACATGCAGACACACATACCTTTACATACAACTTCAGAAACTTCATTGCTTTCTAAACATTTAAGTCTAACTGGTGTGTTACAACCTTCAAAATATGTTCACTTGAATGTTGCTGAGAGAGTTTTTGACCCTTTGCTGTTTTCCCACAGGATTGAAAAAACGTACAAGGAAGGCCTTTGGAATACGGAAGAAAGAAAAGGACACTGATTCTACGTATGTACTTTAGGAGTTTGCCTCCTCGAAGAAGCTATTTGCATAAGAGATGCTCTTATCACAGTCAATATAAGATGGCCACAGTTTTCTCGGATATTGTGTACTATTTGCTTTCCTCATTTCTGAGTAAATTGTAATTATTCAATATAAACAGTTCTTAGATTTATGCTAAAAAGGTAAAAATTTTTCATCATGTGTTCAGTTTTTATCACATTTTTCTTTCTTTCTTTTTTTTTTTTTTTTTTTTTTGATCATTACACTTCCCAGCAGTCTCAGGAGGCAGAAAATGTGACTGTTACTTTTATGAAGGATAAAAATAATTCATTTCCACATATAGGGTTGACCTTACAATCTGAACTAAAGAAACAACAAAACACCTGTTTGGATAGATTAGACCTAGCCAGAAACAGAAATGTAGACTAGATAACATCTCCAAGCTCTTACTTGAGATGCCAAGATTTTGTACAAGCCAAATTGTAAATCAACCAACAGAATTCAGGAATTATTGGATATTTAGCAGTGAATAAGAAACAAATGCCAGAAACAACTGTGGGGATGCTTTTACATATTTAAGTGTCATATCCAAGAGAATTAATTGCCCACAGACACTGATAGACTCTGAAAATGTGCAATGACATAACAGTTTCATTCCACAAACTTCCTTCCACTTATTTGACCATCTTGAATTCTCCTGCAGAAGTATTTGGCTCTGACACAAAACCTCAGTTGCCTTTTGCAGCCAAGCAGGTAACTTATATATGTGAAGTCCACTGGCCGGGAACTTGAGACTCCAGCCCAAGACCAGTGTAGGGAGAGCACAACTATTCAGCTGCAGGTGGTTGTGACCAGGTAGAAATGCAGAACTGATGTAGTTTGCTGTACGTCAGAATCAAGCCCATTATACCCCTCATTTGGCTAGAATCTCTGAAAGAAAGTTAGAAAATGGGAAAAGCAACAGTTGTATGGGCACAGGTGAAAATGAAGAAAGCCACATTTATTCTCACCTTTAGCTTTTCATTCTGTATATTTTTATCATGCGTAAATTTTGTCACAAGATCCTGAGTATTTCCCTGGGCCCTTGTCCTTTAAGAATTTATGATTCATGAGATAAAATATCTACTACATAAATTATTGTTTGTACAACTAATGAGGTAACATATTTGAAATGACTAATATGGTACCTAATACTTAGTAAATGCTCAGCAAATGGCAGTTGCTGGTACTCTTATTATTACTGACACAAATTAGTATGTGTAAGTTCCTTACAAGCAACTAAGATGGGATTTCATGGGAATTTGAGGGTGAAAAATCTCATATTTGGATTGATGATCAGTGATGCTTCGGGGTGGGGGAGGAGACTTGAGTTTGGCCTTCAAGAAGATGAGGATGTGTATTTCATGCAAAGGGAACAACAAAAGCAAAAGTGGAAAGGTAGTAAAGTCCACTAGGCATTTACTGACAAGACAAATGGGGCAGTTTGTCTACTTGGGGTTACAGGTAAATGTGATAATGGAAGGCAAGGCTGGAAAGGAGACCAGGACCAGATAGGAAGGGCCTTAAGTACCAGGCTGAAGTGTGTGGGCTACTTCCATAGGCAGTGGGCCACCTTGAAACCATGAAAGTTTTTAAGCCAAAGAGTGCAAAGGATTGGGCGAACAAAGTTATTTTTTGTCTAGATGCCAAATGTTAAGTTCTTATATTTTCTTTTTGCATTTTCTTTTGTAACTATTTATTTCAAGAATATTACATTTACTGTTGTCCTGCAAATTTTTCTAAATAATTAAGTTAGCAATATTTTTCTGAGGATTATATAATTTACATTGTTTCTTAAGAAGTTTGCCATTTTCTTTCTTATACTTTAAGTTCTAGGGTACAATGTGCACAACGTGCAGGTTTGTTACATATGTATACATGTGCCATGTTGGTGTGCTGCATCCATTAACTCGTCATTAACATTAGGTATATCTCCTAATGCTATCCCTCCCCCCTCCCCCACCCCACAACAGGCCCCGGTGTGTGATGTTCCCCTTCCTGTGTTCAAGTGTTCTCATTGTTCAATTCCCACCTATGAGTGAGAACATGTGGTGTTTGATTTTTTGTCCTCGCGATAGTTTGCTGAGAATGATGGTTTCCAGCTTCATCCACGTCCCTACAAAGGACATGAACTCATTATTTTTTATGGCTGCATAGTATTCCATGGTGTATATGTGCCACATTTTCTTAATCCAGTCTATCATTGTTAGACATTTGGGTTGATTCCAAGTCTTTGCTATTGTGAATAGTGCCACAATAAACATACGTGTGCATGTGTCTTTATAGCAGCATGATTTATATTCCCTTGCCATTTTCTAATCATTAACCACCCAGAATATGTGATGATGCCTTCACTAGATCAGAAGACCTGGGCTGTAGTCCCAGCATTGCCAAAACTCCATGGCTTTGGGAATTACCCTTTACTTTGCTGGGCCTCAGTTTCCACACCTGTAAACAACAACAACAAAGAAATTTACACTAGATGGAATCGAATTTCCCTAAAGGGCCAGACACTATACGAGTCATATAAGGGAAGGCATTATAGGACTCATATAGTGCCAGGTGTTTTGTGGGACACTATTCGATGGATCTCAGGAGAACATCGTTAATGGAAACCAAATCCATTTCTGAATGAAGACAATGTCTGTAATTGACTGCACCAGAGATTTCTGGCATGTGAGGAAAGTTGGAATGGAAAAAAGCTTTCTCGAGAGAGAAAAGGTTGAACAACCTCTACAGGGCAGGCTGAACTAATTTACATGTAGCCAAAGCACTACTCTTCCATCATCATTTCTAAAGTTATTAAAATAACTGAGTTATTCCTCACAGCTACGGGTAGAGGCCCAATATCTCTCTGAGGTACTCTAACGAGACATTTGTTTAAAGAATCCCAAGTATCCTTCCTTAACTTATCATTTGAGAGTCCCAAATTACTTACGTGATAGCAAAATAGCTGAAGCTGGTTCCACCATCAGTGATGGTCAAAGGACAAGCTGTTTAGTATGTTTAGTATAAGCCTTTGCTTTTCATGAACTCCCTAATGCTTTCGTGAACTCTGTAATTGGATCATATATCATTCTCAGAAAAGAAATCATAAATGCAAAGGGGTTGGGAAAGCACTCTAGCAATTTGCTGTCCCTTCAGCTTTAGTAAATGCTTGTGTTTGTCTGTGATCATTGAAGCCTTGTTGATGCAAACTGTTTTCAGGGCTGCTACAACTCACTGTGGGTTGCTCAGCAACCTGCTAGGGTAGACACACCAGCACCAACTTCAGCTGATTGAACCTCCTAAGATATACAGTGGGGTTAGGACCAGAATTTCCTGATTTGGTCATCATTACAGCAGCTGATAGAGGAAGGGAGAGAGGTTGTGCTAAGTGGAAGGCCCTGTGCAGGACATATGTTGCGCTGATATCTTTTTTAGTCTTCCTAGTAATTAAATAAGGTTAGCAGTAATACATCAATTTTAAAGAGAAATATCAGTGCCAAAGGGGGATAAGTAACTTTCTGAAGGCTACCCACAAACTAAGACTTGGAGGCCATATTCTAGTCTAAAATCCAGTGTCTGTGCTTTCATCACCCAAAAGAAAAGATATCAATGGGTAGAATTAAAATCCAGACAGATAGGAGGGTAAAAAAAAAAGACAGTAGTTACAAAAGGTAACTGAAACTTTAAAATATAGATGCCAAAAGTCCATGGTAGATGATTCTTTTTAAAATAGAAGTCAGCAAATACAATAAGTCTGCCATGAAAAAGAAAAAAATTATTTTAAAATACAATATAAAACCTCATTAGAGGGGGTTAGAAAGTGAAATTAGAACACATGCCCAAGTGTCTGAGGCTGCTAAAATCTCTTCACTCCCTAACCTGGGTCATAGTGTATAAAAATTATTATTCTAGAAAACATTTAATGAGCATTTACTATGTTCTAGAGACTGTCTCAGGTTCTTCACTTATGTTAGTCCACTGAATCCTCTAATAGCCCTATGGGATATATGCTGTTATGATGGCTATTTTATAGATGAAGAAACTGAGAAACAAAGGGGTGAAGTAACTTGCCCAAGCTTCTGCAGCTAGGAAATCGACATTGGTTGATCCCATGCAGTCTGGCACTGGAGCCGGTGCCCTTAGCCACCATGCTGACTGACTCCACAGGACACATGAGCCACATTTCCATCAGTCGAGAAGACAAAGGATCAGAATAGGACTCCAGTGCTGCTATGTACAATCACAGTTTCTCTGATTAAAAATTGTGGAAGACCATCCCAACGGCTGCAATAAGCATGAGGTCAAATGCCTCCCATTTAAGATCCCCTACTGATATGACCTTGTACCTGGATTCACAGTGAGCAACACCACAGCCAGGCCAATCTCCGAGCTTTTGCCGCATCTATTTCTTGCTGTTCCCAAAGGCATCTCCACATGGATCAGTGCCTCTAAACACATCCTACCCAAAAGTTGATGCAATCACTTCTCTCCCAGCTCCATTAGCAGAGGTTGAAGTCCTAGTAAGAATTACTCATATGTGGAGATATTAAGTCCTAGTAAGTTGAAGTCCTAGTAAGAAATACTCAGTATATTGGCCAGGCACCGTGGCTCACACCTGTAATTCCAGCACTTTGGGAAGCTGAGGTAGGTGGATTACCTGATGTCAAGAGTTTGAGACCAGCCTGGCCAACATGGTGAAACTGCTTCTCTACTAAAAATACAAAATTAGCTGGGCGTGGTGATGCATGCCTATAATCTCAGCTACTTGGGAGGCTGAGCCAGGAGAATCACTTGAGCCTGGGAGGCAGAGATTGCAGTGAGCTGAGATTTTGCCATTGCACACCAGCCTGGGTGACAAGAGCAAAACTCCGGAAAGAAAGAAAGAAAGAAAGAAAGAAAGAAAGAAAGAAAGAAAGAAAGAAAGAAAGAAAGAAAGAAAGAAAGAAAGAAAGAAAGAAAGAAAGAAAGAAAGAAGGGAGGGAGGGAGGGAGGAAGGAAGGAAGGAAAGAAAGAGAGAAAGAAAGAGAAAGAAAGAAAGAGAGGAAAGAGAGGAAGAAGGAAGGAAGGGAAAGGAAAGGAAGGAAGGGAAAGGAAAGGAAGGAAGGAAGAAAGGAAGAAAGAAAGAAAGAAAGAAAGAAAGAAAGAAAGAAAGAAAGAAAGAAAGAAAGAAAAAAAGAAAGACTGACTCAGTATATAGATACAAAAAGAGAATTGGCTTTGATGAGTATGGATTGGTACCTATCCTCAGTGCTCTCCTGCTAGCCTGGGCTTACTATGACCATGATAACCCACTGGATTTACTCACCCATTTCATTCTCTCTGAGATTAATATGTTTTCATTATTTTTATCCTTTGGTCCTAACCAATCACCTGGCTCATTACAAGCACTTTTGTTGGCCAAGATTCTTCCTATCATTCTATTTTAAATAAAATTTTTTCAAACTGGTTAATTTCCACATCCAGGTAATGTCCAAAAGTCTCAAGATTTCTGTCAATTCCCATGGTCTTTCAATATCAGAATCTTCTCTGTTTCTTGTCCCTGTATCACTGATTCACCTCTGCATCTGTGTGGACACAGAACTCACTAGTTATGAAAAATATGCACTCTGTCAAGTGTATTATAATCCAAGTAGAATATTCTGCTAATTTTGAAGGGATGTTGGTGGGGAAAGGGAATCACACCTTGGAGTCCAGATGGCATCCTACCAACTCTCTGCATTGCTCTCTCTCTCTCTTTCTCTCTCTCTCTTTCTCTCTCTCTCTCTCTCTCTCTCTCTCTCTCTCTCTCTCTCTCTCTTCTCACGGGCTCCCTGCCATGAAGCAATAATTTTCTTACCTGATTGCACCTTCCGAAGAATGGTTCCAACCCCACACCAAACTCCTCAAGACATCAAAGTTCACCTCAAGCACTTATTAAGGTTTTCTTCCAAATAATGAGGCTCCCTTTCGAAGCATAATACGTATCGCTGTATGTTTTAGCCTCTTAAAAACTGAATTAAAATGGGAGGTTATAAAATTACTGTGGCTACCTTTTAGTTTCTCCCTCTGCTCTTGTAATCCAGTTTTCCAAAATACCTCTAATACCTCTCCTACACTGCCCTAAAGTCCAGTGTGGCTGTAAGTGGGCAGTTTTGTGTTCCTAGTGAAGAGACATCTTGGAAGAGAAAAGAAATTATAATCAACTCACAGTTTTGAATACCATGTGTCAGGAACTATTGTAAGTTCTCTCTATATATTATCTTATTTAAACTGGCTTAGAGAGGTTAAGTGTTCAAGGTCATAGAACTATTTGGACACCCAGCTTCATCTTACTCGAAAGCCCTTGCTCTTGACCACTGCAGCATAGTGCCACCATAGAATAGCTGCCCCGGGCTTTAGTCATCAGAAGGAGGCATTTAGCAAAATGTTGTTCTCCATTTCCTGCTCTTCTATAATGGAAGGAGAGGTAAACAGAGAAATATGGAGGAAAGTACCAATTCTCAAAATAAAGTTGAAAAATACCACAGAAGCTTTTTCATCTAGGAGGCAATTCAGGACCATTCGCAGAAGAAAAGATAAAACGGCTGGGCTCAGTGATGCTCTCCTGCAATCCCAGCTTCTCGGGAGGCTGGAGCAGAGGTTCGCTGGAGCCCAGCAGTTCAAGGCTGGGTAGTACGCTTTTGATTGCGCCTGTGAATAGCCACTGCACTCCAGCCTGGGCAACATAACCAGACCCCATCTCTCAAAAATACATAGATGAGAGAGCAAATTGGTTTACTTGCCTCATGATAGTTTTAAATGGAGCCAGCTAGAGTGGGACAGTTAGCCAGCTAGAGTGGGATAGTTTTAAATGGAGCCAGCTAGAGTGGAGTCTCTTTAATAAACTCTCCTCTCAAAAATGAACCAAGGCACTACCCTTCCCACATGTGGCTTTGGGCTGCAATTTTTTAATGAGAATTTCCTTCCCACATACACATACCCCACACTTAAATACCACTCAACCAATTTGTTTTGATTTAGTTTTCATTAGCCAGGTTTACTGGGGTGGGAATGCTGGGGAAGGGGAGGATGGTGGTTATTGGTTCTTACTGTTGTACTTTAGTCTATGTGGCAAGAATGATTCCTTATCATAATAGCTATCAATTTCTTTTTGTTACAGAGGTTCACCAGATAGAGATGGAATTGTAAGTATTTAAATAACCATTTTTACTGAGTTTGTGCTTCAATATATGCTATGTTTAAATTTCTCAAAGCCCTTTTTTTTTCCTGTAGGGAAAAAAATAGCTTGAATGACTTTTTGGACCTCTCACTATTGGAATTTTCTATATTAATTGCATGGGACATAAACATAGTCCTGGTCAAGCTAGACTTATTTATGGCATTTACCTAAAACCCTGCCCCAGAGCAGGCAGGAAAACAGATGGTGGGTCACAAGCCAGACAGTTCACGCAGGGGCTGCTCCCATCAACTGTTATTTCATTTCCAATTTAATGATGTAAAAGCTCATTATGGGAGAATGTTTTTCTCCAACAGAGGCCACAAAGTTGTAATGAAGCTGAGATCCAAGAAAATTCAAAGAAGCTTTTCCCCTTTAGTAGTTGTGCTGCAGATACATTTTCTATATTAAATTCAAAAGTAGGAGATGGTCTTGAAAACCACTTAAGCCTGAATTTACAGCCTGAAAGAGGAAAATGTGTCCACTGGGTTTAGATTTAACAGTTAACTCTGACTCCTTGCTGGCCACCAGAATTCTTGCTTTTTAAAGAAGTCCGTGGTGCATGGGCTTAGATTTATCCGAGTTGTGCTTACGGGAGTCTGCACCGACTCCTAAAATGACTTCCTTCAAATCTAAATCAGATGCCTATTCAGAAGGTTCAAAAGAACAGCTGTTACTGAAAAAAAAATGGACTTACATTAGGCTCATTGGGCTGGAGTGGGAACTAAAATAAACCTGATGGTTAAAAAATTTTTTAAATCACCCTTCACAATATTATACATAAACTGGGGTGTTAATTGCAGCTATAGCAGGAATTTTCCTTCCACACTTGACTCAAGGTTCTTAGCTTTGGGGCGCCTTTTGCCTTCATGTGGTTCTTACCATGAAATGTTAAGAAAATAGACTGAAATTGATCAGACATTGGGTAACACTATAATCAAGGCTCTATTCAGCAGGGGAAAAAAAAGACCCAGAAGACTCAGCTTCTCCTCACCTCTTGCTTCTGGCTCAGAGCCCTCTCGTTAACTCTGTCTCAGGTACTCTCTGCTTCTGTGTCTCTTCTTTGCTTCCGGCTTGGTCCCCTCCCTGGGTTCTCTGGTCCCCTCTGACCTTTGCAAAGCTCTGTTAGCTACTCTGCTTTCTATCCTTGCTGCTCCCAGACTGGATTGCTATTCCTTGCTTCTCTACCTCTGCCACTCTCAGTCTTGTCCTTATTTTCTTTCTCCAAACCCCTGCTCATTGTCTCTAAGGCCCCCTTGCTGCTTCACTATTCTCTGTGTTCTGAGCAGCACCAACTTAAATCTCTGGTAGAATGTGCACCCTGGTACCTGGTACAGCAGCTGACACGTGGCAGGCAATGATGAGTATGTGCTGCATTAATGAACCCAGCAGTCATTCTGGGGACGCATCCCCCCAGGGCAGGGCTTCATGCCTGAGTTCCCCAAGTCCTTCACCATTCCAAATCATATGACGTTCTTTATTAGCAGTTGTGCCCACTTTGTTACTTAATTAGAAATGCCATAAATATCACTGATCATGATTATTAGGAAAGATAAATTAGTTAATTTTGATTTCTTAGGAAATAACACAGACCTGTTCTGGAAAAGGCTACGTTCAAAATAAATGCACTTCCTCAGAAACAGGCTTTATAGGTAATTGGACATTATTAGCCAGCTGCTGGTTTTACCATTTAGAAATGTTCTCCAAGTTTTCCACGTTTACTATGGTCACTGAATTTTGGAAACCAGTGCTAACTGAGTTTCTGTCTGCATTCAGTTCTCAGAGATACCGACCTGATTTTCCTTCAAACTCAGACTGATTTCCTTCAGCCCTTGTTTCTATAGACCCAGTTCACTTTTGCTTGGCTGATATAGCTTTCAAATTATTGCCTTTTGAATGTCAAGTGTTGAAATGTGTGGTTTCATTAATGTAGTTCCACAAACTACAGGTGGTGGTGCACCTACCTAATGCTTATAAACTACTTGGTAAACACAAGCTTTAATGTACTGTTGTTTATTTAATGCCAGTTTCTCAAAATCTAACGAAGCTCATCTCTGGTGACAATGCTTCTGAGGTTTAACCTATAGAGGCTTCGCAGCAGGGCTGCATGCATGAAGGTGGGCCTTGCTCCCCACTGGCTGAATGTACCCATCACTGGCAGAGCTGTCTGTCATGGTGTCCGAGTGTGACAATGCATCCTAACCTAGACACAAACTCTAATTTATGCAGGGCAAACTAACTTTTTTCCAAGCAGTTCCAGTTTCCCTCCACACATAGACTTGGAACATCAGGGTCATAGCCTTTGCTGTGAGAAGGTCATTTTTTATCACCCTGAACAGGTGTGCAGGAAAGGGCACAGATTTGGAGCTATCAGCTGTGTGTGCTGTATGTATTTGTGACCCACAGGAAGGCTTTGATCCAGGCTAAACTGAACTTTTCCTACTTAGGTTAGAAATACAAACATTTTTATTCAGTCTCTTCTTGTGTGTCCTTGTGCCTGTTCTCTACGTGTAAATTAAATGCTGGCTGTATGAGAAATAGATCCACATGGTCCCTAGTGCCTGGGACATATCTTCCTCCTCCTCCCTTCTTCTCTTGGCCTAACCAAGCTGGCCTGCTGAATAGAGCCTCATTATGGGCCCCAAAGTCCACTCTTTGCTTAAGGAACCCTGCCAAGATTGGTAGGCCGTATGATTTGGCCTAGAGATGGTTTCTTCTATGGTATGTTTGCTGACTCCATGTAATTCTTTATATGTGTCTTGAAGAACAAGCAGATCTTTTAACCACTTTTTTCTACATGAAAACAATCAATTCCAGCAGCCCAGCCCACACGAACCACCCTACAATAGCAAAGCAGAGTGTGCGCGTGAAGGAGGAAAAAAAGTTTCGGTAAGGAAACAGATTTTAGTTTAAAATTTCCAAAGGGTTATAAAAAACAGTGAGTAAAATCCCAATTTAAAATTTGGAAAACACAGTAGTTTTCATTTACTCCATTTAAGAAAACTCTTAGGTATTTCCAAATGACTTCTTGAATGTCTGGGGCCAATTTTTAAATTAACCATATAGACTTTATGGACTGACATCTGAATATACTTTTAAAGAGTGATCACACATAAAAGATGTGTGTTACCTGTTTCATCGACAAAGGACAGGAATTCAAATTTTAAAAAGAATCTACTATCTATAAAGAAGCCTTTGGCTATAATAGAAATATCACCACATAAATTGAGTAGTCATTTCTTAGGATAAGCACTGTCTCAATAACATCAGGAATTTGGCAGAAACTTGATCTGTAGGAGCCAGTGTATTTGACCAAAGGACATTGAGTCGGGGATGCTGACCCTAGCCCAAACTCTGTAGTACCTATAGCCGTGTTGTACATTATGGTAGCCACATGTGACTATTTAATTAAAATTCAGTTCCTCAGTTGCACTTGACACATTTCAAGTACTTCATAGCCACTTGTGGCTAGTGGCTACCATCTTGGATAGCACACAGGTAGAATATTGCCATCTTCACAGATATTTCTATTGGGCCGTGCTGTTCTATAGAATTATTTACAAAGTGAGTCAGGTCTACCACAGTGGAGAAAAGATAATATTTAGGCAGTACGTCATGTACCTTTAACACGCCCCACCCAAGGATCATTACCTGGCCATGAGCTGACCTTGAAAGCCAGAGGCATTCCCAATGGAAACTGAGAATTTTGATGAATGTATAATTGAACTTAACTGTCACTATATTTATCTATTTAGCCCATCATGTTATCTAAGAACAGATAATGTATGCCTAACCAAAGTAAAATACCTATGAAGACATGATTAGCGTCACTGTGAGTCTCAGTTATCTTTAAATAATAATCATATTCAAGTTATAGAAGTTACTTATGTTAAGGTAGGATTTTTGAATTTTAAGAAATACAAAAAAAAAGGAAAAGGTAAAAATCTATATAATTACAATTCCAAGAGAAAAATCGTTGTTTATATGTTGGTGCCTAACTGATATTTCCTTTACTCTTAAGCCTGGTTTTTAAGTGGTGTTTCCCCACTTCACTGATATTCTTCCTTGCTTCTTCTTCTTGAAAGTTTTCCATTTGAAAATCAATAGACTCATTATCTTCACTATTACTAGTACTACAGTTGCACCTTTCTCAATGGTTAAACCAACAAAGAATTGTTTTTTTCTTGGGTTTGAGCCAGAAGAATTCCATCCAGGCTCTGGCCTAACTTTAACTTGATAATTTTCACTTGGGAAACCAAAGATATTTGTAAGAATCCACTGGCATAACTGAGACCAAATTCCTCTAATAAAGCCGTGTGTGTGTGTGTTTGTGTGTGTGTGTGTGTGTGTGTGTGTGTGTGTGTTGAATATCTGCCAAAAATAATGTATTGTTATGATTTGTTGTTTGTTTTTAGTATTCGTTTTTAAAGTGTCCCTATTTTTGAAGAAAAAATTTCTACAAGTTTTGTTTTCCCTTTATCTCAATCTTCCTTTGGTTTTCATGCAAACTGGGAAATTTTCACTCTGCCTAGATCGTCAAATTTAGAACTCAGCTTTCTTTCTACAGTATTAGATATATGTTGTCAGGAAGGAAAGAAAAACAAGTATATATATATATCTGTGTGTGTGTATAGGTATCTGTGTATGTCTATTTATATATATGCATGTGTGTGTATGTATGTGTGTATGTATATATGTGTGTACATATACATACACACATATATACATACACACATACATACACACAAATATATATATATATAAACTGTTTAGCTGAACATATAAGCCATCTTGGTTTTTAAGGGCCTTAGTTACGAAGATGAGATTATCATGGAAGCAAACTGTAGAACTTTGAAAATTTTGAACTCAGTAATTTATCTAATCTGTGGTTTTGGGTAACAATCCTAGATCACAAAATTCATGAGTTTACTTTTCTGGAATCTGCTTAGTCCTTTTGATCTCCTATCAATATAAATTAAATGTCTATATTGAACTTGTTTATTATACATACTTTCTAAGAAGGAGTGGAGCACTTTGCAAAGAAGTCATATACAAACAGACTGGTAAAGCAGAAATTAAAAGAGAAAGTAAATATGATAAAGAGAAAATAGGAGCCCTGTCTATTCCCAAGTGAGAGAATAATTTTTATTAAGTGGTACATTATGTAATGGACCAGTTCTCAACAGTGGCTTCGTAACGTACACATAGGCAGAGTTCGTATGACAGGTTTTACAAAGACCTTTGTTCAAAGTAGAAAAAATACCACTGAAGCACTAATTCAATGAAGGCAATTATATGGGAAGATTAAAATGATGTAGTCTGCATACAAATAATCTATGTCAGAAGTGGGACAAAGAGGGAGATGGTCACAGACCTTATGTCCATGGATGCTTGTCTGTGGAGGCATGGCCCAGTTCTTATATTTGTAAATTCTAGTGCAGTGGTAGTATATTGGAAGAAAGAGGGGATGAACACATTATCTATTTCTTGTGCATTATTCACCCTTGCCAAAGCCCTGCTAGTCCATAGAATGCCCAGTCAATATTCACTGTTATTCAATGATAACGATTATTCTGGGTTATCTAGTGATCCTATGTGCACACATAAAAATCTAATTTCTCCACCCATTTGTCAAATTGGGTATTAGTTGTTTACATTGCAGTTCAAGTGGCCTTTATTTGTTGTTGCAAAATTAGAGGTCCTGTGTCCAAGCCTCATGCGTCACCATTTGATGTGTGTTGTTCTGAGATCTGCTATGCGCAGTGACATACCCTTGCTCCATGTGCTAAATATAAGAATGTTGAATGAACCCTCCTTTACCAACGTGATTTGTGTTTGTCGTTTGCTCACAAGACATAGAAAATCTTGGCAATATCTATTTGGGTGATGCCACATCTTTGCTCAAGTGCTTGTGGCCATGTGTCATGGTTGTACTAGGGGACAAAGAAAACTTTAAGAAGAGAGTAGTGCTGATATCCAGTAAACTTGCAATGATGCGTGCTCATGGAGGCACAGATCACATGGGTGACAAAAATCCACCATTAATCCTCAAATTCTATTTTTAAAATTTGATAAGAAAAGCCATTTGAAAAAAACATTATTTTTAATAACTAGGAACTGAATGAACTGATTTAGAGCTGACTTACTCTGTGTTTTATCAAGGGGGTAGTTACAAAAAAATTGAGTGCTAAAATGCTAAAAGACTAGTTAATGACTTGGATGAGTACTCTTTGAATATGTTGTAACTAATTGTATATAATAGCAGCATGGAGGTAAAAGTGTTACCATTTAAAATACATATATACACGGCTATATCTCCTGTAGATTTAGAGGATTCCATTACAATAAAGGTGCTGCTAATTCTTCAGTAATTGAATAAAATTTGAACAGTTCATCGTTAATATCCCTGTGCCTCAGTATCCTACAATCTTTTGTGAAATAAGTACATATGCCCTTTTATGCAGTGTCACAGCAGCTAGATTTACCATTCCATTACACAAATGTGGCTCCTTAATAAACTGCTCTAATATGTCTTTCCAGTGCTGGATTTTGATAGCTTTTGCTAAATGCAGATAAGAGTTAAATGTTCTTTGTCCCTTTGTTTTTATTCAAATGTTTTCCTTCTAAATTCATTTTCAAATTTATTACAGAAGAAAAGCAATGGGGCACCAAATGGATTTTATGCGGAAATTGATTGGGAAAGATATGTGAGTATCAGAAGAGTGTTTCTCTTTATTAAGTATTTTACAGTTTAAAAATGAGTTGAGGCATTCTTATAATAGGACTTAGAAATAAGCGAAATGCTCTCCATGTCATTAGGAAGTGTCTGGCATATTTAGGATGGGGCTAAGAACAATAGAGTCTGTCAGAACTGGGTTTAAGATCTTGTCCAAGCTTGTCTAACTTTATGAGATTTTTTGTGATTTATTTATTTATTTTAGCTGATCAGCTATTGTTAATGTTAATGTATTTTATGTGTGGCCCAAGACGATTCTTCTTCTTCCAATGTGGCCTAGGGAAGCCAAAAGATTGGACACCCTGATCTAGCCCCCACACATATCAGCTGTGTGTGGCCTTGGAGTAGTTATTTGCTGGGTAGCAAAAAAGAAGTCAGTAGTTACCACGTGTCATTGTTGCAAGGATTCAAGGAGCTAATTATTTGCAAAACATTTCAGTAACCTGCCTAGCCTGTAGTATTTGTTCAAAAAATGCTTTTTTAATATTAAATCTGGGTGTTTCAGCCCTGGTTCTACTTCTTAGAAGCTTTCAGAATAGAGGCAAGTCAACCTGATTTTGGCAGGAAAGGCTTCAGGGAGGATGTGACCTCTGGGCAAAGGCCTAACATATACATAGAGGCTAACAGGCTGAACATTTGGGGGAAGAGAATTGCAGGCAGGGGGAACAGAGTTGATGAGGTCCCTGAAATGAGACAGTGCTTGAAGCACCCAAATCACAAATGTTGGGAAGGAGAGAACATGTGGCTGAGAGGGGATCAATGGAAGATAATTACAAATGCGAAGCTAGAGAGAGGGGCAGGAGCCAGCCCTGCTGGGCCTTATTGGCTACACAGAGGCACTTGACTTTTGTTCTAAATGCAGCGAGAAGCCAGGGACGGGTTTTTAGCAGGTAAGTTACCTCAGTACACTTGTATTAAAAAAAAAAAAAGCAACTCTGAGAACTGAAGAAGGAGGAAAAGAGGAAGACCACAATAAATGCTCAAAAAAATGGTGAGTTTCAGACATAGAAAGAAAAATACTGTATGATCTTGCTTATACGCAGAATCTAAAAAGAAGCCAAATATGGGAGGCTGAGGCACGAGAATTGCTTGAACCCGGGAGGCAGAGGTTGCAGTGAGCTGAGATCGCACCACTGCACTCCAGCCTGAGCAACACAGAGACTTTGTCTTAAAAAAGAAAAAGAAGTCAAATACATAGAAACAGTAGAAAAGTAGTCAGCAGGGATAGAAAGAGAAAGGAAATGGAAGAAGTAGGTCAAAGAGTACAAATTTGCAGTAAGGTGAGATGAAGTCTAGATATCTAATGTACTAAAAATTTGCTAAGAGTTTAAGTGCTCTTATACACACACACATAAAAAGGGCAACTATGGAAGGTAACAGAAATGTAAATTTAACCGTAGTAGTCATTTTGCTATGTATATGCATATCAAAACATATTGTACACCTTAAATATAGACAATAAAAAAGATTTTTTTAATGGGGGCTTTTTCCATGGTATGTAGACCCTCTTCTTTCTCCATGGTTATGGCATTTTTACTGCTTTATTAACTCCCAAAACTAACTCTCCAACTCTGCCTTCTCTCACTGACAGACCTATAACCTCAACTTCAACAGGGCCACCTACAAATGCTTCATCTTCCTCCCCTCTAGGACATAGGGTATAGTCTGAAACACCTGGGATCAAAACCTAGATCTGACATTTGTTGGGTGTGTTTCCTTGAGAAATGGCGTCTGATTTCTCTTATTTTCCCCCTTGATAAATGGGATAATTCTTTTCACATATGCTTGTTATGTGGCTCAGTGAGGTAAAATATGGGTCACAATGCTTACCATATAATAAGAATCCAAATATGATCATTCTAATCCCAACAATGCAAACTGCCTTTTTATGTTTTCAGCTTCTTTCCAAAAAATGTTAGTTGTCTGCTGTTAGAATTAGTTCAACTGGGAGTACCAGCACTCTCCCACAATTTGAGGGTAGAAATCTTGGATTCCTCTTTAACCTTCCCTCTGCTTTTTCTCCTATGGCTGACTGATCTGTTACCAAGAACCAGCAATCCATCCTTTCAAACATCCTTGATTCATCCCATCCCACCAATAACTCTATCCATATCCTTAGCACATCTTGCCTGAATCGATGCACATGTTTTAAATTAGTTTTTCTTTCTCCAGTTCTTCTGCCCCAAGGCTATCCTGGAACATACTTCCAGAACTCCTTAAGATTCTGCTTTCAGTATGCACCACCCTAGCTGAGAAGCTGCAGTAGCTACCTCAAGTCCAAACTCTTCCCCTGGCCTGTTGGCCTCCGTAGTCTCATCTCCCCATCTCCCGCTGTGCAGCTTCTTCTCCAGCCATGTCATCCTTGCTGTTGCCCCTCTGTTTCCCCATCTGAGTCACCCAGTGTCCACTCCCATCTTGGTGTCTCTGAACAGGCTCTTCCTTACCACCTAGAAGGAGCTCCTACTCTGCCCTCTCCTGTCTGTCCTGAAAGACCCATAAAGACCTCCCTGATTCTTTTAAACCTCACTAATTTCCTTTTCTTGGAACCCTGTCTAACACAGGTGTTTTGTGTTTTGTATTTTCTTTTTAATTTTTACCTACCGAAACACACTTCAATTTCCCTGAGGACAAATAATCTACATTTCTTATCACCCATGTTGCTTAGCACAGTCCTTGGCTTACAGGAAATGCATGTTAAATTCTGCTTGAATGCTTTCTTTCATTGACAGTTGATTCCTCCTCGTTTATTTTCCCAGTAGGAGGACTCTCCAAGTATCCTTGAGTAAATATCTAAACATATTGCTCAGAATTCACTTCCAAAAGTAAAAACTTCATCTCCTAAAAGAAAAGACTTTTCTATATCCTTAAATAGAAGACTCTAGAAAAAAAATAATTTCTTGATCACTGTTAGGATAATAATTACTTCATGTGCACTTGTGTTTTATAGAACTCACCTGAGCTGGATGAAGAAGGCTACAGCATCAGACCCGAGGAACCCGGCTATATCCTTTCTTTATTTTTTTATTTTAATTTTCATTCACTCTCAGAAAACAGTAGGATAAATTCAGATTTTACAAAAGTAATAAAATAACCGAATCTTCACAAGTCCTGTTATCCCTAATATTAGAGATGAATAAACAGCACTGAGAACACCCTGAGCTCTAGCAAGCAGGCATTTTGCCTTAATCTATTCATAGAAAAGAGAGAGGAGAAAGAGAAAAACGTGCTAAAAAAACGCTAATCCCTGATATGACTGTCATTTACAGTGACTAGAAAATAGCTCTTACTGTCCTCTCCCTACAATTCAACTCTGGGCAAAGCATGTCACACTGATGCATTTAAAACTCATCGAGGATCATTCATAAAGCAGCCTTCCTCTCTCTGTAGATGAGTAAGCTCACATGTGCTTGTCTGTGTGTGCTGAGTATGACACAACAAATGGTCAACTGCAGCAAAAATGTAGGATATTAGAACCATTGCTTCTTGAAATTCACCATCCTTGATCATGTTCTGAGGAAAGGTGAATAAATTCTAACCCCTTCCTCCTTTACTTTTGTATGTTTTGCTTTGATTTTCTGCCATCTAAGGATACTTTTGCTGTCTCTATATGCAATTGCTCTTGTCTTGGAGTCGTTGCCTCCCAGTAGAAGAAAGAGTTATGTATCTTTAACTGTGTTCTACCTACCAAAGGAAAGCACTTTTATTCTTCAAGTGAATCGGAAGAAGAAGAAGAATCACATAAGAAATTTAATATCAAGATTAAACCATTGCAATCTAAAGACATTCTTAAGAATGCTGCAACTGTAGATGAATTGAAGGCATCAATAGGCAACATCGCACTTTCCCCATCACCAGTGGTGAGTGTTGTGTGTGTGTGTGTTAAGCTTTAGTGAGATTGAACAGGGCTATGTTCTGCCTATATGCATTAAGTCAATCAGAAACTCCTTAAATTGAAGCCTGCATATGGTCACCATATCATGAATTCTATAAATCTAAGAAGCTCATTCTAGCTTGAGAAAATTGTACTTATTTTATATTGCAGTCCTTGTGCTTTTCAAAAAGGTGAAAAATATATGGAACCACATTTTCTTTTGACTTATTTTCCTGCAAGCATTTTAAAAAGAAAAAAAAATAAAAAGATTATCCAGAATTATCTCTCATGCAGACTTAGCAACTAGAAACAACATGAAGTTCACAGATTTGCTAACAGTGATTTTTAAAAACACATCTTAGTTTCCTTTTTTATGATACACCACATGAAAATACGTGGAAGGAAACTGGTTATTTTTTGTATTGCTATGCTCTAAAACCAAAAACTAATCCAAATCATAGTCTAAATCAAATTTAAAACTCATATCCTTCATTCTATTGTATTATCAAATTGACTTAAATAATCTCATCTTTAAGGTACCTCAGATATAAGTATTGTCCTATTTATATTGTTCAAGTAGGTATTTTCCTACAGACAAGCTAAGATTTGGGGTAAAAAAAAAAAAGAGATTATTTTTGCACAATTTGCACTTTCATTCCCCAATTCCCAGCTACTAAGTTTCTTTAATTGCTGAATTCTGGGTTCCAACATGTACAGCCTTTTCTCTGTTTGATAAATGCCACCATTGTTTTCTAAAAATGGTTGTGAGGAACAGATGAAGGCTCTCAAACTGGCAGCTAATGTGTTCTTGGCATCTTCTTTAGAGAGATGTGATCTCGTACAGCATTCCCCCTGAACAGAGCAGTTAATAAATGCTGAACCATTTTCGAGATGCTTCAGGAAACATCTCAACTAACCTTTCTAAATGAATTGTAATCATCCATCTTTTGAGAATAAACTTTTGCCTCCCTGGGATGAAAAGTGTCTATAATGACGCTTTCTTTAGTGTTTAATGCTTATAATGGACTTGATCACTACTGTTGGTAACAACCAAAATGATTGCTAAGAGAAACTAACCACAGTAAATAATATTTAAGGTGATTTTTAATCATATACTCCCCTGCTACTTTAAGATGTCTTCTTGAAAAGGGAAGCATGAAATGTATTAGTTTTCTTTTCCTTCTATAATGGAAGGTGCAGATTTTAAAGTTACATATTGGCCTGTGAGTTCTAGTAATGGTGGTATTTTAAAAGCACACTCTTTCACTTTTCAGTGGCATCTTTCAAATTATTTTTCACTTACTGAATAATATTTTTTACTGAAAATCTCCTTAAATGTCTAAAACCAGTTTACAGCCATGTCTGTGCAGTTTATTTTATTCACTTCTCTGAGTTTGTTCTCTGTGTAATAAACTGGCCCTTTGGAAGCTACCTGGGGTAAGTAAAAGAAGGCAAGTTCAGAGGATTAAGTGAACACATTTATGTGAAAGCAAATGTACCGGCACAGTCCCAGAAACATAGTGGATGTTTGCCGGAATGTAGCTGAATCCAGGAAGGAAGAGATTCCCTCTTTTGAATGGAATATGTATGCCTAAGTTTTCTGGTAGCTATTCCTCCAACCAGATACATTGCTAAGGATGCAGCAAAATGTGGTGGTTTACTCTAAGCTCTTCTCAACATCTATTTTTAAGGAAATATATTGACATGATGTGGTTAAGATTCTGATGAAAAAATGTTAAGGGAAGCAGAGTGAAAACTAGATGGAGACACCCAGAGAGAGTGACCTCGGAGTTACTCTGTTTCTGCAAACCAACAACGCCACAGACCAAGGGACCCTCAGCTCCCATTCCTGCACCCACACCTCCAGTTTGTTCCCTGTAATGTGAGAACCTGGATCTCCTATTTTTGTGATTCCTAAATATTTATAATTTTTCATAGTTGGTGTGGAAGAGTGAGCTGTTACTACTTTAGGAAAAGGTGAGCAGGTTTCTGGATGTACATGAGTTTAAAGAGAGGTTGTAACTGAAAACATATTCTTGGCTTTAGAATCTTTGCCCTCTCCTTGATAACCCGTGTGTAAATATAGATAGATATAGATATAGATAGTTTTGTTGTTGTTGTTGTTTAGACAGAGTCTTGCTCCGTTGCTCAGGCTGGAGTGCAATGGTATGATGTCGGCTGACTGCAACCTCCACCTCACGGGTTCAAGTGAGTCTCTTGCCTCAGCCTCCCAAGTAGCTGGGATTACAGGCACGTGCCACCATGCCTGGCTACTTTTGGTATTTTCAGTAGAGACAGTGTTTCACCACATTGGCCAGGCTGGTCTCGAATTGCTGACCTCAGGTGATTCGTCCGCCTTAGCTTCCCAAAGTGCTGGGATTACAGGTGTGAGCCACCGCACCCAGCCATGTACATATATTTTATAAATGACATATGCAGCACTTCCTCTCCAGAGCCAGATAAGCAGAAATAACCTAAAATCCAGCTGGTGCCATGATCAAAATGACAATGATTTTGGACTTTCATGTCTCCAGCCAAAAGAGCAGACAATTATACATCTATACTTTCTTCAGGCACTAAAAAGGAAATAGGGTCTACACAAGTTAATGATATATCAGAATATTTTATTTAAACTATGGTTTTTATACTACAAAAGCATCAATCATTACATTAATAGAAATGAGGAAATTTCAAATAATAAATTATTCATAACAATGGTTTACGTTGGACTTCTGATTTATGTTTCTTTTGAAGTTTTTAAGATAAAGTCGTGCCTCACTTATTCTTTTCATTTATTTGTTAATATGTATCCATGAACTATAACCAATTTGATCTCTTTTATCATGAATTGGTTTTATTATACTTGAATAGTTTCGCTATATATATTGGGCGGTCAAATTAACGAATGAAATGAAATGGGAGGAATGAATGAATCATATAATTATATGTATATACAATATAAACTTATCTGAAATTTACTTCTCAAGACAAAGTGTCAGAAGCAAGACAAATCAAGATTTTAATTGCTGGCAACAATCCTATTGTACAGTTAGACAAATAAACAAAATTTTAGTCCAGATTTTGCCTTAGCCCTTGATTTTGATATAGAAATAAAATATAATGTTGGCCAGGACAAGGCAGAGCACCAAAAAGGCAGAAGGCTAATGCAGGAGTTAACTCACAGGTAAAGGATAATAATTCTTTTTCTTATCATGTTCCAGCCTGCTGATAAGATACCAAGCTTACAGGGCAAAGAATGAACATCACCCAGGTTTGCCATCTGGTCAGGTTGATTTGGCATCTGTGTAAGTTAGAATATTTGTTAAGCTGTTTTAACAGAGACCAAAATAATAATGGCTTAAACAATATAGGTGGTTTCTTTCTCTCCCAAGTGAAAGTCAAAGCTGATAGACAGTCCAGAGGTAAAAGAGTCTTACTCCAGTGGTCATTCAGAAACCCAGGAATTTTCTGCATTATTGCTTCTCGTTTCCTAGAGTAGCACTGCTGCCTTACCACTGCAAGTACTTCCATGCACCAGCCTTGGGATGGAGGAAAGAATAAATAAAAAGCAAGTGGTTTTCTTTAAGAGTTTAACTCAGAAGTTGCGCGCATCACTACCACCCAGATCCCACTGCCACAATTTAATCACATGGACACATTCACTGCAAGGGAGTCTGGAAAATGTAGTGTTTTGCTAGATAAACATGTAGTAGCCAGCTAACATTCGGGGTTTTATTACTAAAAGACAAAAGAACAAATGGCTATTGGTGGACTTTGACAGTTTCTTCCACTGGGTCCTGAATTATATTGTATCTGCATCTTAAGGTTAGAATTAAGTAATCTCAGATTATTTCAGAGAGTTCATTAGGAAACGGGATTTCTTCCCATATATGTTTTAAAATATTCCCAGTACCTATTAAATCCAGAATGTTCTAAAATAATTTTCTAATCACTAATTTATAAATACTAGTGATACCGTGCTGCTTGTTAGCTAACAACAGGTTGAACAGAGACACTCCAGTGTCCCTCTGTTTATGCAGGTTCACTGTTTTTTAAGGCAGGCTGTTCCATTGCTGAAAGAAAAGTCTTCCTTTTATTAAACCAAATATGTAATTTTGTCCTTGATTGTAGTTGTACTCTTTAAAGGATGAACAAATGGTAAAGCCCCTTCTTTTACCAGTGAGTTTTCAATGAAGCAGAATGACTCCAACTCCAAGTTCAGTGTGCAAGATGTTTTTTAAGGAGTGACCTTGGACTTAATACCTGTGATGTGGGGTGGGCAGAGGGAGAAGTTGAGCTGCTTTACACAACGAACAACAGCCTGAGCTGATCCCAGGGAAACTCAGGAACTAGTAGGAGCCTTCAGAGTTAGTGTGAGTTTGGCTAAGATGAATAACCTTGATACTGCTCAACCAGTCAGTGCTCTGATGTGGGCCACACTAGGAAGGGGCATGCCCTTGGGTTAGGTAGCTCTCTGCAGTTGAGGCAGATCCTGAGGTGCTGACAGTTGAAGGCTGCCAATAGCCCTCCCAGCAACTGGTGCAAGGAAACCTTCTGAAGAAGATTCTGCATGGTGCATTTTGGTGTCCATCCCAAATTCTCTGTTCTTGACATAAGGCCTAGTGTGTCATTGCCATTCAATTAATGCTTGCAAGTGAGTGAGTGAGTGAGTGAACAAATACATGAATGGAACCAGGCTAAGGACACAGAACCATGGCATGTCACCACCCTCCAGTTTTACAACCATCCACTGATAACACCCTTCAGCCTCCTTTGTTCACCACACAATGATTCTCCTAACTGTGCCCTAATCCTGGGCACATATTTTCATTCTTTTTTTCCAGAACAACACTGCGTTTGAGAGACCTGGGGTGTCTATGGCATTGCCTAGACCTACCAGGCCAGAAACCCTATCAGAGAGAGTGATAGGTTCAGTTTGCCCTGTTTCTTTGCGCTGGCACCTAGGGTTATCACCTTCTTTTCCAAGTGCTTTCTGGCTATCTGTTTAAATATTTTGTTCTAGAATTTTGGGTTAATCACAAGCCAGTGTGTAGTAACAGAAGGCACATATCACATAGATTCAGATTGTCCTGGGCCCCAGCCCAGGTCGACCACTTTCTACCTGTGTAACCTTAGACAAGCCCCATAACTGTTCTGATCCTCCATTTCTGCCACTGTAAAGGAAGGATGATAAGAATCCTTAAGGACTTTTTGTGCAGAAGATCCTAATAACAGTACATGATGTGTAATTGGTACTCTGCAATTGTTCATTTCTTCATTACTTAACCTAGATTCTTTTAAAAAAACCACTTCTCCTTTTTTGAGGGTCATGCTCTGCTTCCCCATGTTCAGCCTTCTGACCTAACAGCATACTGTGTTTTCATGTCCTGGGTTAAAATGTATCTACATCTCGAGGCTAGAATTCTGTTAAAGCAGCTTGGAATTCTCTTGCCTGTCTCAGACTTTAATTCTGAGCCAAATCTGATCTGCCTTTTAGAGGAACTACTTTTAAGTTAGTTTTCTCCATCTTGGACAATTATGGTTGATTTCTCTTTAAACACAAACAGAAACTTTGTACATACCCCCTGAAGGAACTGAGGTACAGTGGGAAAAGTGCCAGCCCTGACCTCAGCCTCTTGCTAGCAGTACTGCTTAGGTAAGGTACTTAAACCTCAGTGAGAGTCTCAGTTTCTTTCTGTCTGAAATGGGACAAACAAACAGCTACCTTACAGGGTGGTTGTTGCCATGGTCATCTCTTTCTGCTAGTGCAGTGTAAAGACCACTCTCCCTAAAGGAGGAGATAGAGACAGATGCAACACGAACAGTTCTGTGGTTTGCTTGCCTTTACACCACACTCTTTACATTTAGGGTAGAAGCAAACCTCCATTATATCATACAAGAAAAGGCTTTGTTCTTAAAGAGTAAAATAATTTTTGAAGGAGGCTAAATAAAATAATCAGTGCAGGAATTAATTATAAGGAAATATGACTTCACACACACACATGCACACACACAAAAAAAATAACCAAAGTCAGAATTCAACATACAATTGAATTGAATTGAATACAATTCCCTTTAAGATAATTTGAGGGAAAAAGAAATGACACTTACTCCAATGATGTCCCAATTACTCAAACAAGAGGGTTCTACCTCCTTTTAGTTGATGACTTTTGGTATGTTGAAAACCCAGTGCCTTGGTTTCTTCATCTATTAATGGGGTGACTCCCATACCTACTTCATTGGGCTATTTTGAGGGTTGAATGATTTAATGTATGTAAAGTACTCCTAATAGAAGCTACATGTAAAGATTGTCTCATTGCTATAGAGCCTAGGGCACATTTTAAAGAATATCATTAATAGTGATAAATAACTCAAATTTCCAAAAGTAATTTAGAGCCAAGACCAGTAATTAATTACCCATTAATTACCCAAAGCATCAAACTGGGAAAAGGTGTTTTTTGTGATGCCTTTTGAAGACAATTCCAGAAGGAAGTATCCCTAAATTGTTTTGAGTACCATCAACATCCCCTGAATACATATGGTACTTCTTCGGGAGACTTATTGAAGGCTAACATTCACAATGGCACACTTCATTGTGCATCATGGATAATTGACTTTATTTCTAACTCCCCCTTCAAATCATTTCACAAAATATATGTTGAGCACCTTCCATGTAGCAGGCACTGAGAGCTAATACCAGAAATACTGAACAGTCTGAGAAAACAACATCTAGTAGCAACCAGAAGCTGAAATTTTTCTTGTGGTTCAAACGCTTGCCTGTCTTCACTTCAGTTTCCTGATTGGTTTTCTGCAGCCCACATTCCCCCTGGCCTCCATTTCTAGGTCTCCTGGCTTGCTCACCCTTCCTAGGGTCTCAGATACGGACATCTCCATTCCTTCCAAATCCCACACGGAGCACTGTCTGACACATCTGCACCATGTGCTGTGCTCAGCAGGTACCTTAAAACCTGTGGCTCCCATGGCTTTTGTGGGAGTGAGAAGACAAATGCTATGGTTTAATCTTTGATGTGATCTTTTCCTTTTATAATGTGCTCCCATGGATTCCTTTATTTTTGTTTTTCAGAGAGCCAATAATCCCTTCTGGCTTACCTTGAGAAGGTGTCTTTTAACTACAAGCATTTTGTTCCTTACTGATTAAGATACTGTGCTCTGGAGTAAGTCAGAACTAAGTTTGCATTCTGACTTTCCGTTTATTATCCATGTAGCCCTGAGCAAATTGCTTAACTCTTTAAGCCTCAGTCAAGGCTTAATCGAGTGTAAAATAAGGTTAATAATACTGCCCACTTCATAGGATATTTGTAAGAATTAAGGAATGCATATAAGGTGCTTAGTACTTTGTAAGTAAATTTATGTAAGGTCTAAAAGAGGTGCTTAGTAAATGATAGCTATTATTAATCAGGATAACAATAAAATATCAAAGTCATCCTTTAAGCTCATTGATGACTTTGAGAACTTATCATGGTGATGAATTTGGTAGTGGCAGCTGTGAACACGAGTGCTGTGTGTCACATACATTAATTCATTCATGCTCCCAACAACCTGTGAGATCAGTACTATTGATATCCCCACTTTACAGATGAGAAAGTTGAGACATTGAGGGATTTATTATCTCACTCGAAGCATCACAGCTAGTAACTGAAGTTGCTGGGATTTAAACTCAGAAAGTTCTGTTTCTAATTGAGAACTCTTAACCACTATATTACACTAGTTTTGATGAAAGCCATTGACTCTCTTTCTAGAAAAAAAAGTTCACTAGCTCATTCAAAATATTTTACATACAATTTCTGAATGCTCACATGAAATAAACTCTTTGAAGGATATCGATGGATGCTCAAAGGGCCCATAATCCCAGCCCAAAGGGCCCACCTCACAGACTTTCTCCCCACTGAGTTCATCCACATCCACCCATAGAAGACCATCCAGTCTTCTATGGTACAGCACTTCCTATATTGTACCACATGACAGGAGAGCGAGGCTGAGTTGACACCTTGCCAGGTCAGGCTTAAATGCTGTTGTGTGATATGTGATTTCTCATTTATTAAAATTATCTTATTATATATGCAGATTGTTTGCACTTTTGTTTTAAATGTTAAGGAATGATGTCCATTTTATATGGCTCATTTATTTCAGTTCCCCTAATCAGTTAATCAATTGGCAAGCACTTTTTATGTCAATGGCATATTATAATAATGCTATGTTTTATAAATGCCCAGTCATGATCAAAAGGATGAAATGAGTAGCAGCACTATTAAGCAATCTGGGAGGTAGTGATGCCCCTATTTTACGGAGAAACCAGCACAGAAAGATCAAGAGACAAGGATAAATAGAATGAACACAGGCTTTTGAGTATATATCTTATTATCTGTGTGGTCATAGGCGAGTTCCTCAACTCGGAGCTTCAGATCTCATGGCTGTAAAATGGGAAAAAAATTGTGTCTACCTTCTTATGACATGAGAAAATATTGTAAAATACCCAGTTCAGTGCTGTCTCCCAGAAAAGGTGCCATTAAATATCAATCACCTTCTCAGCTTTGCTTTCCTTTTCCTTAAGTTCAGAGACTTGTAGGAGGCAGAAGGAAAATAAAAATAGCGAGGGAGGACTTGAGCAAACTCACAAGGGCTGAGAGAAATGATGTGAGAGCAGGAGCTGACCTACCCTGGCGTGTAGGCTAGTGCCTTCTCCCTTCCTCTGGAAAGTAAGTGGTACAGTGAAGTAAAGAATCTGACATTGAGTCATGAAGGAACAATTAGTTTAATCTTCATCCTGGAGATTTGCAATGCATAACTTTTTAACCAAAAAAATATGAGGAGGGGGAAATAGCTTTGAACTGGAGACAGTCTGGTGTTGTTTGCCTGTTCCATGTGGCCCACCCACCCTTCCACCCCCAAATTAGCCTGCCAGAGAGCAAAATTCATGAATTTGCCGCTGCTTGGTAACACCACCCCCTTTCCTGTCCTCACTTCAGCAGAAGGTTCAGCACCCCATTGAGTTCAGTGAAAACAAAGAGTCATCAGTGGAGGAGGTGAGCTCCAGTCTCCTACACACCAGCATTCTCTCCTGGTAGAAGCAGTGCACAGTGCAAGGAGAGGCTAAAGATTGCATGCATTCTGATGCAAGGCACTCAGCCCAGACCTCTTATTTAGTAAATTAGAAGGCAGAGGTTCAGCTTGAGTTCTACTCATCAAGGAAAGCTTCGTAGGGCAAATGTGATTTGTATTGGTCTATACCAGGGATATCAAACATGGGGCATATAAACTGCCACTCCATCCCCAAATCTTCCACAGACATTGCCACTAAATCCCAGACATGGGCTTAGAAGCCAGCCCCCTCTAGACAGACCTGCAGGCAGCTGGACAAAAATCAGCTAGAGTTAACACATGAGACGCAACTTTTGTTTTTCCCAGGACTCATAGAGGATAGATGGGAAAATAGGTGGAAATTTTCTTTTTCAAAATATATTTTTTTCTTCTCAACATTTTAATAAACCATGGACTGTGTGCAGAAAATTAGTTTTGTATCTGATACATGCTTTTTCTTTCCTTCATTACTGATTTTTTTTTCCCTAGGAAATTTTCTGTTGCTTCCATTTCCTGACATTTAAAATCCACACCTTTCATGCCCACCTTACTCTGGTAAAAAGAAATCCCTGAGCTGTATGAATATTTAGTATTCAACCTGGAGTGCCTTTGTCATGATTTCTCCAATTAATGTTGGTTGTACCTTCTCAGTAGATGGTATTTTGCTCTCTTCCTGAAATGTAAGGGTTAGATTTTTCTTGCATAAACACAATTCCTACATCATTTTATACTGTCTGGGCAAGCTGACCTGATTTGAGGGTTCTGGAAACATGATCACCATGGTTGGAGATCACAAACACTCAATTTCTGTAACAAAATCAAAATTTCATTGAATAAGGCTGTGTACTCACAATATTGACACATTGTATAAAATGTTAGGATGGCCTCAGTAGAAGTAGCAAATTATTGAATTACATGTTTTTTATTATAATGTTAATTGCAATCAAAAAACGCTAACTTTTATACCTTTAAGGTCTGCCTTGATGTTAAATGTTAGTAGCATTTAGAATTTAAAACTATTTTGATTAGCTAAGGGCCATAGTCAGGGTAGAATGTGCTCTGTAAAGAAGCAACCAATTTTGAAAGTAAGTTTTTTACAGAAGCCTACTTTGTGAACAGTTTACTGAATGTTGGGTTTCTAACAACAAATCTTGCACCCAGAGCTTGTAGGTTGTCTACTTTTTCTCTAAGGAGGCATTTTCTCTAGGGCCCACAGCAGTGAATGACACATAGTAGGTACTTAGAAAATAATTGTTGATTGTCTGGGTGGATGGATGCACCACGGGACATTATATAAAATGTATGCCGTATCTAGCTCTGCTATAATGCAACTTACATTACTTGCATTATTTTACAAATAGAGCAAATTTATGGTCTCAGTTGCTTTGATCTTTTCCTCTTCAACTTAACCAAGTTTCTTTTTTCACTACTTGATGGGTGAACAATAAGATCAATAATTTCCTGTTTCTTCCTCTACAATGTGTAGGTTCTTTAAAAAAGTTTGTTAATGTGTTCTTTTCTGTGGGTCCTAGTGCACATCCAGTGAGATTGTTTTCTCATCTAAAGCCTGAGGTTTTCAGTCATTTAGTTGTCTTCAACCTTGAGGGTCACTTTATCAATGATTATCTTTCTTGTACAATTATACTTATTTTTTTACTAAGGAGTTTCTACAAATATGTGAATAATAGTATAAATAAGCATAACAGTATAAGAAAAAAAAAATCTATCCCTTTGCCCTCTGAAGGAGATTTTGTTTTAGTGGCAGCAGTCTACAGCAGTAAATGTACTTTTTATTGTTTTAGAAAAAAAAATCTTACAGTGTGAATCACTCATATTAATTATGTCAAAAAATTTTTCCTCAAAGACTGGGGAGAATGTCCTTTCTAAACAGAATGAAGGTGATATTTCCTTCTGACTTATGTCTGTCTAAAGGACAGCCTCTAACTGCCCATGGACCTTGGAGCTGTAGCTTGAAATAGCAGCCAGCACAGAAGAGGTGCAGAGCTGTGCCTGCCAGCCAAGCTGCCTGTCCCAATGTGGGCAACAGAGACAGAGGGCAGATGGACTGGCCTCAGTGTGTTTTGCCCAACTGAAACTCCTTTCCACTTTGTAACCTATTTGAAGCCCATCTTTATTTCATTATTTTTTAAACACAGCACAGGGAGAATCAAAATGAGTTTCCAAAGAGGAATGACAAATGACAGCACATATCATAACCAGGTATTTTCTGATATTTTTTCATCCATGCCTCTTCTCAACACCAACAGTTACTAAATGTCCACACCTCAGAACTCCTGATAAGTAACAGCAATAAGCCGCATTGGAGCAGAGTAAAGCCAAAATCTTCACGGTGGTCTTCAAGAGCCTCATTGTCAAGATTCCCCCATCCCTAGACTAACGCCTGCCATTCTTCCCTCTCCTTCCACTACTCCCTGGCTCCCTGGGAGCCCTCTTCCCCTAGATAGCTGTATTGTGACCTCCCTCAACAACTTCATCTGTTTGCTCAGTCACTTTCTCAAGGAAGCCTACCCTGCCCACCTTATATAAAATCGCAAAACCCTTTGCCCTGGAATTCCTGAACCCCTTTATTTGCTCTACTTTTTAAAATTGCATTTGCCGTCTTCTAAAATACTAAATACTTTCCTTATTTAATTATTACACAGCCGTGTGTTGCTTAATTGTTGTTAGGCAATTTTATCATTGTGTGCACAACACAGAGTGCACTTACACAAACCTAGATGGTATAGCCTACCACACACCTAGGCTGCATGGTATAGCCTATTGCTCTTAGGCTACAAATATGTATAGCATGTTACTATGTTGAATACCATAGGCAAATGTAACACAACGGTATCTGTGTATCCAAACATAGAAAAAGTACAGTAAAAATATGGCATGAAAGATTTGTTTAAATGGTATGCCTGTATAAGGCATTTACCATGAATGGAGTTTGCAGGGCTCAAAGTTGCTCTCGGTGAGCCAGTGAGTGGATGTGAAGGCCTAGGACATGACTGGACACTACTGCAGACTTTGTAAACACTGTACAATTAGGCTACCCTAAATTTATAAAATTAGCCTTATAACTCTTTTACTTTGTAAACTTCTAAATTTTTTAAAATGTATTGACTCTTTTGTTATAACATTTAATGCAAAAACATTGTACAGCTGTATGAAAATACTTTATACTCTTTCTTTGTAGTATTTAAGGTATTTTAATACTTTATAATAGTTAAATTCTTTATACTCTATTCTACAAGCTTTTTTCTATTAAAAATTTTTCTTTTCACTTTTTAAACTTTTTAGTTAAAAACTGAGACACAAACACAAACATTAACCTAGACCTACACAGGGTCAGGACCAGCAACATCACTGTCTTTCCCCTCCACCTTTTATCCCACTGGAAGGCCTGCAGGGGCAATAACACACATGGAGCTGTCACCTCCTCTGGTGACAATGCCTTCTTCTGAAATACCTCCTGAAGGACCTGCGCAAGGCTGTTTTACAGTTAGTTAACTTGTTTTTTATAAGTGGAAGGAGTATACTCAAAAAGTAACAATAAATAGTATAGTAAATACATAAACCAGTAACAGCCATTTATATAATCAAGTATTTGTACTTAATAATACAGCAGCACAGGCGGTTTGTTTACGCCAGCATCACCACAAGCACATGGGTAATGCATTGCACTATGACATCACTAGGCAATAGAAATTTTTCAACTCTGTCATAATCTTATGGGACCACCATCGTATACGCAGTCCATCGTTGACCAAAGCATCCATATACAATGCATGACAGTATTTATTACTGATTATCTTTCTCCTTCCCCTGCTCCCAGATGTAAACCCATTGGAGCTTTTATGGCCTTTTCTGTTGTTCACTAATGTCCCTAAAATAGTGTCTGGTATTTACTAGGTGCTCAATAAATATCTGTTAATGGCTTAATAAATGAATAATCCTTTTGCTCCTTGTGAATACCCAACCAGTCGTAAATAACTGAGACAAAGTGATTATTTTATAATAGAATCCCATTTATCAAAATATAAAGAATCAGATTGGGCATAGTGGCTCATGCCTATAATCCCAGTGCTTTGGGAAGCAACGTTGGGAGGATAGCTTGAGCCCAGGAGTTTGAGACCAGCCTGAGCAACATAGCGAGACCCCGTCTTTACAAAAAATAAAATAAAAATAAAATTACCCAGGCGCAGTGGCATGCACCTATAATCCCAGCTACTCAGGAGGCTGAGATGGGAGGATCACTTGAGCCCAGGAGTTCAAGGTTAGAGTGAGCTATGATTACACCACTGCGCTTCAGCCTGGGGAATAAAACTAGACCCTATCTCTAAAAATATATCATATAAATGAAAATAAAAAGAGGAAGATTCAGGATACAGCCATCCTATTTTTAAGGTTCAATGATTGCAGACTCTTAAAAGGCTTACAGATTCAACCTGACTTTTATGTCTTGATCCCACTCTATGATGCCTGATGCCAAAATTCCCATGGCAGCTCAATTCCTTGTTAAGCTAGGAAGCAAGCAGAGATGTAATCAGAGCACGAAACCTTCATGTAAGTGACCATCAAAACTGGTTTATATTTTCTTCATTCACCTCTATTAGCTTTGATTCTCAAACACAATTCAATTTTGAATTGGTTTCTAACCCCTCATGCAAAAATGTAGTCCTCAACAAAACCTAACTTGAGTGCATACTTGCATTTTACCATGTTATTTGGAGTAATAACAGCCAGAGAGAGACAGAGAGAGAGACTCTCCAGCTGCAGAGGATAAGGGTCTATGAGTTCCTTGAAAGCTGTTGATTATGGGATAAGCCACTTTTCAACAAGCTTTGTCAGTCAGAAATTGTGTTTTCTTAGACTATTGGACAAAAAAAAATCCCTGTACTTTGTAACCATTCAATGGTTATATTTTAGGTAAATTTATGCTTTACTCCAAAAATTCACTTACTCTATTTCTATTTACAAGTAAGCCCAGAGGAATATCACTCCCATTTCTCTTATTTATCTTTTCCATAATTAAAAATAAACTCTGATGCTATTAGCCCATTTTAAATCGAAAACATCTTTGTTTTTTCCTATCTTTGTTTTTATTGTTTTTTTCAACATTCTGAAGAAACCTTTAAGCTAAGAGGTCAGGATAATAGCCTAGGTGTTGATAGCTGCTGCCATAGCAAAACAACATATTAAATAAAGATGGTTTAATATATGCGGTAGCCTGAGGTGGAGAGATGTAGAGGAGGGGAGGGGTAACCTTTATCATTTGTGTGTTCATGTTTAGTCTTCTGATTTTAATTAAATAAGATGCATTTTATTTTAGAAAAGGCTGAGAAATTTACCTTATAAGTAAGAGTTTTAGTTCAAGGACTGAAAACTACAAGGATGTAGTCCCTTTCTTGGCCCTTAACTATTCTGAAGCATTAGTTTTTGCTCTAGGAGAAAATTCTGCCCTGGAGATCTGAACACATAATCTACACTAATGTTGTACAAAGCTGTGCCACTTCTTTAGAACATTTGCAACATGTGTAAGCACCTGAGGTCACTAACAGGCAGAGAAATTAACAGTTAAGTAGGAACTAACTGAAATATTTATGGAGCTGGTGAAAGAAACATTACAACTGAGGACACATAGCTTGTGCCATATATAATTCAACCTTATTTCAGACAACAATTTATTTTTTATATTTCAAAAGACACTGTGCTTCAAACATTTGTATAATGTTTCAATGGCTCCCCAAAAAGGGAATTTATAAACATGTGTTGAGTGCCTCACTCTATGTTTGGGGCTAGAGAGAATCCATGCATAGCCATTACTGTGAGCTAATAATCAAGTGGAGATATCTAAATAATACAGAACAAAATAAAAATTGCAGAAATGTACTAGCAATGGGTACCTTTGTTCCCTGAGGCTAATAAATGTCAGGCCAATAGAAAGGCCTTCAATATTTGTTTATTATTTTGAACAAAAGGAATGGGTCACAATCAAACCAGAGAAGGGAACAATTTATTTTGGCAGGCGAATCTGGGAAAGGTCTCATGGAAGAAATGTTACTGACCTTGAAGAATGAGTAATTTTGATTGGGGGAGAGGGAGAAGCAGCATGGGCAGGAGACAGGGAAGCGTGTAAGTGCACGGCACATCCAAGAGAGCCAGGAGAGTGCAGCGAAGTGCAGGCTTCATAGAAAGCCAACGGAGGACGATGAGGATGGGAAGGGAAGTTGGAGCCCATCACCAAAGCATTAAATTCCATAGAATGGAGTTGGCATTCTATTTTCCGGATAATAAGGAGGTTTTTTAAGGGCAGAATGATATATTCACTTCACTATTTTTGGAAAATGATTCCGAGGATAGTGTGAAGGATGGATTAGGAGATGAAGCTGGAAATAGGACCATCAGCTAGGAAGCTCATGTGCTGTCAGTGAAAGATAATGAAGGCCTCATTAAGACAGGTGCTGAGGAAGTAACAGGGCATTCTGAGGGGCCATTGACCACTCACAGGGAGAAGAATTCATAATTGTCTATGAAGAATAGGGGAAAATTAAGGATGGGATCAAAGAAGAACTGACGGCTCTAGCCATGGTGACTTGGGAGATGATAGGTTCTGGGTTCCCTGGAGAAACTGGAGCTTCTGGAAAGTCTCATGCTTTCATTTCATGACCGTGCCCAGCTACAATGCATGAGTAGTATTTTCCAACTCCTCTCAATATTACAAGGCATAATTTTTTTATTGTCAAGCCACAGATCTGTTTGATAAAAGTAAACCATTCAAAAGAAAGATTAGGCCAGGCACGGTGGTTTACACCTGTAATCCCAGAACTTTAAGAGGCTGAGGTGGGAGGATCACTTGAGACCAGAAGTTCAAGACTAGCCTGGGCAATATAGCAAGACCCTATCTTTACAAAAATAAAAATAATTAGCCAGAGACTGTTGTACATGCCTGTAGTCCTAGCTACATGGGAGGCTGAGGTGGGAGGATCTCTTGAAACCAGGAGTTGAGGGTTTCAGTGAGCTATGATTATGCCACTGCACTCCTCCCAGGGCACAGAGCAAGACAGACTCTGTCAGAAACAGAAAGAGAAAAAGAGAGAAAGAAAAAGAAAGAAAAAGAAAGAAAGAAAGAAAGAAAGAAAGAAAGAAAGAAAGAAAGAAAGACAGACAGACAGACAGACAGGAAGGAAGGAAGGAAGGAAGGAAAGAAAGAAAGAAAAGAAAGAAAGGAAGAAAGGAAGGAAGGAGGGAGGGAAGGAAGGAAGGAAGAAGGAAGGAAGGAAGGAAAGAAAGAAAGAAAGAAAGAAGAGAGAAAGAAAGAAAGAAAGAAAGAAAGAAAGAAAGAAAGAAAGAAAGAAAGAAAGAAAGAAAGAAAGAAAGAGAAAGAAAGAAAGAGGGAGGGAGGGAGGGAGGGAGGAAGGAAGGGAGGAAAGAGCAAGTTTAGAATGTGCTCAGATGCCCAGATGAAGTCCACACCTATGCCCTCTGTAGCTTGAACTAAAGACAGCAGCCTAGGAATGACCATATCAGACCCCCACAGGAAGCATTTATAAAAGCAGTGCCTTCGAGAGCTCCCTTAAGTAAGGTTATCCTGAACCTTGACCTGTTTCTTCTTGAAAATACATTTCACCTCTCTCATTTTCTCTTTATTCTTCCTCCCCATGCCTACGCTTTTAGAGGAAAAGTCCGGTAAGAAATAAGTCCTTCCCGCTTTTGGGGCAAACATTATTTATTCTGTTTATTTTCATTATCTGCATATCTAATGACTGACTGTGTTTAACACCTAAACAAGGTTTTGAACTTTAAAAACAAATCTTTGCGAACCATGACCAGGTCTCATTATGCCACATGGGAAAAAAGGAAGTTGGTTGCTAAGTGCTTTTACAACCCCGTTATTAAGGGCCCTGGGGTAATTTTGTAAAGATTCACCTCTGGTTCAATCACAGCCACACGATCAAATATTTTTGGTACTAAGTTTCATTTATTGCAGTTTCCACTGGAATTAGTCAAGCTACTTATACATATCATGAGCTAAGCAAATGTTTTATAAGTTAATTTTTGATTAGCGTACAACATAGTAGCATCTGGAATGCCTATGAAGCTGGCCCGGGAATGGGGAGTTGTAGGGAAGCTGGGGGGTTTTATTTTGTTTTTGTTTTAGTAAATCAAAATATTCCCTCCTGGAATTGTCAGAGTCTGGAAAAGAGAATCTTTATAAAATGTAAATTACCTCCTGGATGTTAATTTTTAGTAGCAGTGGGTGATTTTTAGTGGCAACACAAGTCTGATACGATGTACCTACATCGTTTTATTTTAGAGCAACACGAGGAACAGATTTCAAAAAATAAAATGAATTTGTTCTCTTCTTGGTTGCCTGGTTTGTTGGGAACATGTTCTCAGGATGCTGATGCATGGCTGACAGAGGTGACCTCTCTGCTGGAAAATAGGAAGATATTATGTTCCATGTTCACAGCACCAACAAGTGACCGGTTTGTTGTTAACGCACCTAGGTGGATGGTGCAATAAGTGCTTTCACCTCTTATGCTTCCCGCTGACCAAATCCTGGCAGCCACTGCACCACATACAGGATACTGTGCTTACAGAAAAGCTATAGGATAGGAGGGAGGCGGAACAGAGACACAGGAAGGACAAAAATATGAGACCAAAACATTAAAATGTCTCAAAATGTGAGCCCAACTCTTTTGGTTTCCAAAAATAAAATAGGCAGCTACAATTACGATTATTACTAAGCTAAATGGCCCGCTTCTGAGTAATTCAGAGTCAACTATGCATCGCCTGTTCTGTGGCAGCAAAATATTACTGGTGCTCTTTAACAGCCTTTTCTTACCCTTTACCAATTTCATTTATTCTTGTAGACCCTGAATATTTTCCTGAATTAACCAAATTTGGCCACCTCAAATATCCACAGGACTGTGTGGCCTGAAGTTTGCCTATGGTGCTTTAAAAATTCTCTTTTTCATTAATTTTTCTCCTGTTGTCCTTCACGGCAATTTTAACTACAAGAATATCCCCCCCATCATTCCCTCACCTCATTTTTCTTTGGAAATGTCCATCTTGATTCCTCAGCCTGGTCATTTTGATGATACCTTGGTTACTAGCAGGTTCTTTGTTTCTCTTCCCAAATGAAGTTTTAGAAGATCATCTCAAATATGTCTGATTGAATATAATAGACAGTCTCCGTAATCTAACTTGTAATATGTAGTCGACCCAAGTTTAAATACAGATAAACACCTACAATAGTGTGGCAAATTAATGCTTGCCAAATAGTTTGTCTTCACCCTAAAGCATTTAAAAAACAAATAGGAATCCTCGTAGGAATCTTAGTAATAAATGTAGTGATCATATATTCTAATCCTTTCCTAGAAAATTCTCTAACATTAATCACTCAATTTGCTAAAACGAGACTACAGAAAAGTCTTATTTGTTTAGTGCTTTGTAGTTTATTGCCTATTTTCATCTTTGTTTCCCCATAGCACTAAATTTAGCAAATTAGGATGTCACAAAACTTCAAAATCTGGGTTATTTAATGAATGTGACAAGGGGGATAGACTGTTTGGTTAGTTGGAAATGATAAACATATTGAAACACTTTATTCACATTGACTAAGACTAAGGTGTCATAGTTAACTGAATTTAAATTAATTCTGTTAAGCAAAAGGTAATAGAACTGCCGTGTCATAGAAGAACAGTGTGAAGGCTGAAGACATAGGCTGCAGTGTTTTCTTTTAGGTAGACATATTCATTTTGAAAATTATATAAATTTTAGAAATATACCACATTCTAGATCTTCATTCCAGTGACAAAATCATAGATTAGCAGTGTTTATCCACTTTGAAAATAGTTTCAACATATAAAATAAGAGTTATCTCTAAGTTGAACACCAAAATAAAAGTAGAAGGGAAAATAAAATGTTTTCCGCATTGGAAGACCAACAGAAATCTAGGTATTGAACACAGTATTTAATTAGAAATGAAGGAAATTTGTTCAGAAAACAAGTAGACCACTTGCAAAGTCTCTGAGTAATCAGACATAGAAATATAGCAATAATAACAGCAGATAGAATTTACTGAGAGCTTATTATGTATGATACAAATGGCTGCAATCAGAGATGAATTAATCTCCTGCAGATTCTGAACAAATGAATAGGTGTTTTGTTTGGTTGTGCAGTTAAAAACGATTTTAGCCCACATTTCAAAACTAGAACATTTCAAATTAAAAAAAAAAATCTGGATGCTCATCATCTCTCTGAAGACCTGGCAGGACTAAGCCCACATTCTCACGTGGCGCACATGGGGTGCACTGAACAGTGGCAAGTTTTCCAGAATCTCACAATGTGTATGTGCCTGACTCCCAGCACCCCCTCCCCATCCCCCACCCACTTTTTACTCCTGCAAGCATTTGGGTTTGCAACTCTGGACATAGATCTCTCAGCTTATAGAATATATCAAGACCAGATACTAAATCAGTTTTCTTCTGCCTTTGAAGAAAATTCTGTATATTGGTAAACAAAAAATAGAACACTAAAGGCTTTGACATTCTTGGGAAATGATGGGAGAAAGGGTAAAGTAAAATTGTGAACAGGAAAAGACCCTTCCCTCCTGGCTGATAATAATTTTTCTGTCCTTGTCCAGCATAGCCTAAGCCAGTTTTTGCTCTTCGGTGGTGGTAACTGACATATATAAAGCCCTTCCATTTGCTCCTGGAATTATTTTCCTATTGAAGCTTTCAGATAGCTCTTAATTATAGACCTTGAGGCTTTCTGGGTCTGTACTTTGCACAGCTTCTAGCTGTGTCTTTTGGGTTCTGTTTAATCAGCCTGTGACTACATGAATTTGAACAGCTATTCCCTGCTGAAGGCATTTTGCAAATGGAGTTTCCAAAATGCTATATTACAAGGTTGTCTTTTACTAGAAAAAAAATTAAACCTTGAACTTGTGATTAAAGTATAGGTTTATAACTCATTGGAAATTAAGATACAACTCAATTTGGGTGGATTAATATATTTGAAATTATTTTGAAAAAGTGTTCTGTATAACCTTAAATTAAAAGTAATAGCAAAAAACCGCAATTACTTTTGCACCTACTTTAATAATAAAGTGTCTTATATGTAAGGTTTTGCCTCTGAATGCTTGCAATCTAGACTCTATTTTTCATATTTCTCATAATTTCATCTTGGGCCACTTTTAGTCCTCTAATTGCTATATTTTAAAAGTGAATTGTTTGTCATGAAATTCCCATACTTCTTTCTACACCAAAGAACTTTTTAATCTGGTCACTAAAGAATAATAAAGTCTAAATTTTCATATAAAAAAGTATTTGAATTTTCCTCAAAGCACAGTATGGATTAGTCAATAAGATAATTTAAGCACAGAAATAGGTATTTATGTGGCCTTTTTTTTCTAATTTCATTTAAGGTGCATCCAGGCAGGTTTATAAGAAAGGTGGATTCAATAGGTAGCAGTATCTGGAAAATAAGGCAAATAATAAAGTCTATAATATTACAAGTAAATTGACTAGAATAATATGTCTAGTGTCCTAGCTACTTATAAACTGGTCTGAAAAATAACCACTCCTGGACGTTAATCACAATGACTCTCTGCTTTTGGAGTCATTCAACAATGCCAAGCTTGGCATCATAGAAGCAATGAGAAAATGAGAAATCAGGGATCTGAATTCTGTGTCTGGTTCTACCTGCCTACTAGCTGTATATCTCAGAGCCTCACCTTCCTCTCTATAGCATGTAGCCAGTTGAACTAGACATTCCTGGAGGCCTACCAGATGTAAAAAGCTACAAGTTTTTGCTTCCTATCTATGTTCTAGAAAGAACATCTTCTACATTTGAACAAACTCCTAGCTTTCTTTGTGTTTGTGCTCCTAGTTTTGGTTTTGGGAGGTAGCCTCTGGTGAATCCATGCATTAGCGCACATATTGAAAGGGAAACTGACCAACAGCTCTTTCCCTACTCACATGCTAGTCACTCGTGTTTATATCGGAAAGCTCCTAAAGAGGCAGAGCTATTAGAGATTGTTGGAATAAATTGATAGCAGCCATAATCAAGATTTGAAAAGCAAAAGAAAGAGGTCATACATCTGCTTGTTGTGCTTTTGTTGTTGTTGTTGTTGTTGTTGTTTATCATACTTTAAGTTCTGGGATACATGTGCACAACGTGCAGGTTTGTTACATATGTATACATGGTGCCATGTTGGTTGCTGCACCCATTAACTCATCATTTACATTAAGTATTTCTCCTAATTCTATCCCTCCCCCATCCACCACCCCACGACAGGTCCTGATGTGTGATGTTCCCCACCCTGTGTCCAAGCATTCTCATAGTTCAATTCCCACCTAAGAGTGAGAACATCTGGTGTTTGGTTTTCTGTCCTTGCGATAGTTTGCTCAGAATGATGGTTTCCAGCTTCATCCATGTCCCTGCAAAGGACATGAACCCATCCTTTTTATGGCTGCATAGTATTCCATGGTGTATATGTGCCACACTTTCTTAATCCAGTCTATCATTGATGGACATTTGGATTGGTTCCAAGTCTTTGCTATTGTGAATAGTGCCACAATAAACATACGTGTGCATGTGTCTTTATAGCAGCATGATTTATAATCCTTTGGGTATATACCCAGTAATGGGATCACTGGGTCAAATGGTATTTCTAGTTATAGATCCTTGAGGAATCGCCACACTGCCTTCCACAATGGTTGAACTCATTTACACTCCCACCAACAGTGTAAAAACATTCCTATTTCTCCACATCCTCTCCAGCACCTGTTGTTTCCTGACTTTTAGTGATTGCCATTCTAACTGGTGTGAGATGATATCTCATTGTGGTTTTGATTTGCATTTCTGTGATGACCAGTGATGATGAACATTTTTTCATGTGTCTATTGGCTGCATAAATGTCTTCTTTTGAGAAGTGTCTGTTCATATCCTTTGCCCACTTTTTGATGGGGTTATTTGATTTTTTCTTGTAAATTTGTGTAAGTTCTTTGTAGATTCTGGATATTAGCCCTTTGTCAGATGAGTAGACTACAAAAATTTTCTCCCATTCTGTAGGTTGCCTGTTCACTCTGATGGTAGTTTCTTTTCCTGTGCAGAAGCTCTTCAGTTTAATTAGATCCCATTTGTCTATTTTGGCTTTTGTTGTCATTACTTTTGGTGTTTTAGTCATGAAGTCCTTGCCCATGCCTCTGTCCCGAATGGTATTACCTAGGTTTTCATCTAGGGTTTTTATGGTTTTAGGTCTAACATGTAAGTCTTTAATCCATCTTGAATTAATTTTTGTATAAGGTGTAAGGAAGGGATCCAGTTTCAGCTTTCTACATATGGCTAGCCAGTTTTCCCAGCACTATTTATTAAATAGGGAATCCTTTCCCCATTGCTTGTTTTTGTCAGGTTTGTCAAAGATCAGATGGTTGTAGATGTGTATTGTTATTTCTGAGACCTCTGTTCTGTTCCATTGGTCTATATCTCTGTTTAGGTACCAGCAGCATGCTGTTTTGGTTACTGTAGCCTTGTAGCATAGTTTAAAGTCAGGCAGTGTGATGCCTCCAGCTTTGTTCTTTTTGCTTATGATTGTCTTGGCAATGAGGGCTCTTTTTTGGTTCCATATGAACTTTAAAGTAGTTTTTTCCAGTTTTGTGAAGAAAGTCATTGGTAGCTTGATGGGAATGGCATTGAATCTATAAATTACCTTAGGTAGTATGGCCATTTTCATGATATTGATTCTTCCTATCCATGAGCATGGAATGTTCTTCCATTTGTTTGTGTCCTCTTTTATTTCATTGAGCAGTGGTTTGTAGTTCTTCTTGAAGAGGTCCTTCACATCCCTTGTAAGTTGAATTCTTAGGTATTTTATTCTCTTTGAAGCAATTGTGAATGGGAGTTCACTCATGATTTGGCTCTCTGTTTGTCTGTTATTTGTGTATAGGAATGCTCATGATTTTTGCACATTGATTTTGTGTTTTCTAAGGTCATCTGGTCCACCAGGGTTCTGTTGCTGCTGGACAGTTTTCGTCATTCCCGACTACGTTTGTCAGGGGCTCCTCATCTTCGCCATCACATTCTCATCATTCGCATCACATTGGTAGAGGCTGCCCAGATCACTAGGCCAAGAACATTCAAAAAATCCTTATAAGCACACCTTCCATAGAACACCAAAGAAAAAATCCAGACAAGGAAAAGGGGTCTCTAAATCCTGCCTCTGATTTTTTGTAAGCTCTTTTTGTACCCTAACTATGTGGGAAATGCATTATTGTCTATATTTGCTAACATCCAGCTCTGTAGGGAAACAGTTTACTTCTCTATTCTCTAAGTACCCCCCCCCAAACTATCTGGAGAAAAACTTCTACGGCAAGACATTAAACATTGTCAGTAAAGTTTTCTTGTATGTTTCTGCCTTGTTCTTATGTACACATAACTAAAACTTACATACCCACATTAGCAAAGCTGTATTGTACAATGGATAGCCTCTCTTTAAGGTTCTCCAAAGCCTCCTATGGTTTAAATAAGCCCTAAACACTAGGACTGCCTGTCTTCCTTTGGCCTGATTCTCTGGAGTGTATGTTTGGTTAGCTGCTTATAAAGTCTTCTGTTACCCAAGACTGTTGACTGATCCATCATTCTCTGACTAGGTGTCTGTTCTCTCTTCCTTTTTGCTGATCACAGAGGCGCAGCCCGGTAAGAACTCTCAACATTTTTACCTTAAACATGTATAGAGAAAATTGCTGCCAAGGCAAGGTGGCCAGGTTGGTTTCCCATTAAATTTATGATAACCCAGTGTGAATGAGGCAGATGAAATAGGTTTACTGATTGAAAGCCTCTGACCCTCTTAAGTATCAAGGGCATATTTTAGAATTGTCAGAGCACTTTCCCATAAGTAACTAAATTAATAGATGGGAATCCCAACTCCTAGTACTAAACTTGGAAAATATATGGAGTGTGTGTGTATATATGTGTGTGTGTGTGTATGTGTATATAAAAGGCCTAGAGATTCACCAGAAAGTACCATAGAAGTTGATAGCAAAGAGATAATAAAGAATAATAAAATGAATAAGAATGTAAGGACATCATTTTTAAGCCATCATTGTTTGTAAGCCTGAATTCAAAATATGTTCCTGGACCATAACTTACAATGATCAGAATATACAGATACATCATTATAATTTCCATCTTGGGAGAGGGAGACACACTTTCAAGTCAATATTCCTAGGCTATCACATAATTCTAAATAAATTTCATCACAGAAGACAAACTTTGGGAGGGTAGATCAATATTAATTTGCATTGTTCAAAGTGAAAACTGTCGTTTTCCTCAAGTTGAAAAGTATCATAAATTTTTTTTTTTCTGTGACGGATCTCGCTCTGTTGCCCAGGCTGGAGTGCAGTGGCGTGATCTCTGCTCACTGCAACCTCCGCCTCTCGAGTTCAAGCAATTCTCCTGCCTCAGCCTCCCGAGTAGCTAGGATTACAGGCGCCTGCCACCATGCCCAGCTAATTTTTGTATTTTTAGTAGAGACAGGGTTTCGCCATGTTAGCCAGGATGGTCTTAATCTCCTGACCTCATGATCCACCTGCCTCGACCTCCCAAAGTGCTGGGATTACAGGCTGAGCCACTGCGCCCAGCTGAAGAGTATCATGAATTTAAAGCAACAAAAAGAAGGGTCTTTGTTAGGTTTGAAATGATCCCCATTTACCTGGTCAGTCCCTTAAGAGAGGAAATGGAACTGAAGACAACACTCTCTGAAATATCCCTAGGCCTGTGCCAATCCAATTAGTCAATTATTATTTGATGCAAATACCCTGCCCCAGGTGACCAGTTGGTGGTTCTCTGCTAAACTACATAGCTAATGCCATTCAAAGATGGTATCTGCAGAGACTGCTAATCTACGGATGATTCCAACCCAGCTGTTAAGTGACATCACAGATTATGAAAAGAGTGAATTCAATCATTCAAAGTGAGGAAATTTATTCACAACATACATATAACAACAAACAAGCATTGAAAGGGGGAAAATACAGTCGCTTGACAAAGGGAGGTTTTTGAATCCAATGGGCTTTTTTCCTGAATGTGGTTTGTGTGGTCGACATCACCTCAGTCTTTTTCTAGATATGTCATGCTGCAACATTAAGGTCATCAGAGATCTGTATGCCCATCCAGCAGATAGCAGGACTTTCTTTTCTGTTGCTGCTGAGTTGCTGCTGATCTTTCAAACATTTGTTGCTTTCTAAATTGATACTAGCTTTGTTCTTCCTAATTTCTAAACAACAGAGTTTTCTTGAATATTTCTGCCATGTTTTGGTTGCACTTAACTTGAGATTGTTCATTCATGAAGACTATTTAATAAAAATGTTACAGGGGCTTCTTCTTTAGTGCCTTTCAACTGTGAATATCCATTGAATGAATTGACACACCTGGGAATTGATGACTACAAAAGGAGCTCTGTAGCTTTCTTGGTTTCATGGATATTAACATTTGAAGGAGTAGGACAGAGGGACAAAAAGGTCTTCAATACAACCTCTGGGACCTCCTGGCTTTTAGGCCTCACAGTACTAGGTGGGCTGTGTTCCCTCAATGCCATTTATTAATCTTGTGATTGACTGCTTGGAACTAAAGCCCCTCTATCTCTTCCTTCAGATCTTATTAATGAAATTCTATCTGAGGGTTCATAACCCAGAAAAACATCTGTTATCTAATTATTTCTGTTATCTAATCATTTCTGTCTACAGAGCCTTCTTTTCCAAAAGCGAACCTGTATCCAAACTTCCATAATGTCCTCAGCAGATTTACATGGCCATATTTATTAGAAAGTATTTATAAATAGTGTAGTAATTCTCTATATGACACACTTAGTAGGGAAAAACAGATCACATTATTAGACAAAAAGCCAGAAAATGTAGTTTGAGAGATTGAGAAAGCATCAAATGGATCCTTGTTCAGATTGAAACTGCTCCCGTAGCATAAATGGGTTCAAAATGGGACAGAAAATGCTTATATAGCCTTAGGAACGAGGGAAAGAAGCTTCTTATAGGTCAATTACAGAGGTGCTAAACCTTGTCCTAAGCTGTTAATGTTATACTTTGAGAGAAGAAAATGTATCTGTGACCACCAGATTGAGCCTTCACTAAAATTAAAAAGTAGGAAAAAATGTGTTTGGTGGCCATCCAACAAATGTGTTCATGGTCTCAGCTTTTGGAATGCTTTCTTATATGTACTTCAGCTTTCCCTGTCCTCAACTCTGCCCCTGTCATTCTCCTACTGCAGGCATCCCAAGCCATGCTGTACCCCACGATGCAACCATCCTGGTGGTCTAGTTTTCTGGTGGCATCCCACACTAAGAACTTTTCACAACTTCTGGTTTTTAATCAAAACTCTTAATCTAATCAATCCTTTTACTATCTAAATAAGTTTATGCTAAGGCATTATAAAAACTGGAGATGACCTGCTCAGATTATTCCTACCAGGGCTATTTGTATTCCAATAATATCACAATGCCTTGAGCTAAAGACATTACTTCCAATTCATGAATTGATGGGCCTAGTGGCAGGCAAGTGAAATAAATTGGGAGGATGAGTGCATAGGTGGAATTCCCTGGCTTTCTGAATAAAACAGTTCATTCAATGGCAGATAGTTCAAGTTTCCCCTGCCTTTTACACTTGCTATCTATACCTTTTAAAATCACATTTGTAAACTGATGACTGTTTCCATTAGCAACCTGGGGACCACACCTGGCAAGGAGCATGCACTACTCCTAAACACATTCTGTAATTTTTAAGCATCAAATATATGCTAAACTTCGATTTACTTTCTTATCTACTAGACTTCAAGAGGTTTTTTTTAATGGACTAATCAATATTTGAATTTAATTTACCAAATCTACCCAGGTAAGGGGTTTTTCTTCTTCAGAAGACTTACGATTTACCCTTTCTTCCTCTCTATAATCTTTGAGTGAAATAAAAAACTGATTTCTGTGTGTGTATCTACAATTTCCTACTTAAATGCGGTTCTGAGAAAAAGTTCATTTCCCTATCTGCATTTATTTGAGTTCAGTTTAATTGCAATGACAGAAATAATACATATTGTACATAACATATATGTGGTCTTAAACCTTATAGTGTCTATTTCTAATTCTAGGGTGCAATTAAAAGGAACTTATCCAGTAAGTATATCTTAGCTACCAGAAATAGTGTATGATTTAAAAGAAAGAACAGTTCCTTGGATCTTGGAGTATATGTACATATGAATTATACATTCCTGGGCTTAATTTTTAAGACTTACAATTTTTTTACTTTTACAGCAAAGAATTCTTGTAATGATAGAGGGCACTTGTGGGTTCTGAGTGATTAATGTTTAAGTTCTGAAAATAAATATGTTTTTGGAAAAACATTGCTATTTTCTTTCTATATTTGTCAACTCTTGCTGTATTATTTAACTTTAGAAATGAATTTAATCAAGTGTGTATTTGTTGCTGGGGGTGGGAAGAACAGGCGGGCAGAAGGAACTGAAAGTAGAAGCAACTTACCCATTCTTGTGTTATTTGATATGAAAATTTTAGTCAACCAAAGTGATGCGATATAGGTTATAATACACATAGGGCACAATTTTCCTCTGCTGCATACAACACTTCCTAGGAAATTCTAAATTCATGTTTCATAGTTAAAGATACAACATTTTCTTGGCATTTCAAGAAAAGAACAGGCAGAGAATGCTGGATTCATGTATTACACATATGGCCTGGCTTAGTATTCTCTTAATTGGAAAGCAGAACCAGTCAAGGCAGCAGACATTCCAAGAATGGTGTGCTCTTTCACTAAGTGCTGCACTATACAAATCTTCTATTTGATGGCTTGTCACGGAAGTTCCTTAGTTAATGAGGTTTTACAAATGCCAGAGAAAACACCACTACATATGCCTAATATATGGCTGTTGCATTGCCAGGGGAGAAGGTTTGTTTTGCAAAGTTTTCATACTGAGTTGCTTATTGATGGGACTTAAATCTCTAAGTGTTTCCAAACATAGGTTATAAGACATATCAGGGAATGGTAAAAATTTGTCTAAAAAGTTCCTTTGTCCTGTGCATCAGGTGAAGAAGTGGCAAGACCCAGGCGTTCCACACCAACTCCAGAACTTATAAGGTGAGTGTGAAAGACATTAGTTGTGTTTTATGCAAGGCATCATGAACTTTTAACAATTAAGCAAATCTCCTTTGAGCTAAACTCTCAGCTCCCATTAACAAAGGCTCTACCAAAACATGTCAGTCCATATGTCCACAGCATGGTCCAAATATGTTATTATTTTTCATAAGTGCAGCCCAAGGGAGACCTTTAGGGAAATATTCTGCCCTTATCTGAAGTAACTGTCTATCAGAATGTGCAGGCCCCTTCCTGATGGGACAGCTAAAGTTTCTCTCTAAAGAGGTATTTTGGTGTCTGGAATGCTGATCTTCAATATCATTATATTACCCTACGAAAAGAAGCCTATTTAGTTGGATACCATCTCATGATACATTCCACCTGCCACACACCAAAGGAATCTTCCATTCTGTTTTTAGTTTTTGGCAAAGCATTGTATTTTACAGTGTATTCTGTGGGTTAGGTAAGTATTGTACAAATGGCATTGTTTTATAAAAAGACTGCTATTTCTATTTTGAAACTGGATTATTTTCAATCTTTATCCTCCTCCAACCTCTCCCCTCTCCTCTTCACCCCTTGCCCGTTACCATACCACATAGACCTCACTGGGATCAATGAGGGGAATCAGATTTGGAGAAGAAATGAAGATAATTATGCATCATTTTCTTAATAATCAGTCTGGAGTAATAATCAAGAGAAGGGATGCGAGTTTAACTTATTATCCTCCTGTTCCCCCTGATTTCTCAATACTTCTCTTTCTGAGATTTACTATCTTGGAGTATTAGGAGGTTACAACTAGTCTATTAGAGGATGAAACTTCTCGGTGGCTTTTTACTTAATATTGCTATGCTTGACTTTCGCTAATTATAAATTGCATTAACTACAACAAAGAGATGTGGTGAAATCAAATATAAATTTTACTTGAGATCTTAGGGGAGAAAGGTGCTTTGCAATAAACTCAGCTCTAGTATTATCTCTTCTAGGTATAGAAAATCATGATGCTTTGAAAGAGTTATTCTCCTTCAACTTATTTCTATTGGGTGAGCACCTCAGCTCTCCATTGAGAACTAAGGATCTCACCTTCTACCAATTCTTTTGTCCCATAATACATCTGACATCCTTATAAAATACTTTCTAGCCCTAACGGGGCTTGTATACACATGCATGCATGCACTGGTGCACACACACACTTGTTTCACTAAGAAAAATATGTGAAAGCTTGTATATCTTTTTGAGTATTAATTTTTGAGCCCTTTCCCTGTATTTTGCCTTAATGTGTGTGATTTAGCAAAAAGCCTCCAGATGACACTACGGCCCTTGCTCCTCTCTTTGGCCCACCACTAGAATCAGCTTTTGATGAACAGAAGACAGAAGGTAGGAAAAGAAACTCCATATATTATAGATTTGTTTTTTCTTTTATTAAAGTACAACTCTTCTAGATTAAATGTATGTATTTTGAGGTATATTTTTAATATATTATTTTCGTGGGAAAGAAAAGTTTCAATCTAGGTGTGCTGTCAAGAACAGAAGTTTAGTTTGAAAATCTCTATTATTTTAGGATTTGAAACTTTACTTCCAGAAATATCTAATAGCTAAGAAGCTCATTCTTCAAAACAAGTCAGTAAAAATTACTGCAAGTCTACACAAATCCCGGTCATGGAGTAAACACTCTGGGAACCAGACCATCATCATTTGAGGTGTCAACAGAATCACAAATGGAGACAGACCTTCATACATCCGTCATTGTCGCTGTCGTTGGGGTGTGGCCTCCCTGACCATCTTTGCTCTTTCCCACCTCATAATGAAGGCATCAATTGGATTGCTCACAACAGTCATTGTTTGCTGGCTCAAGACCCAGGAATGACCTTGAATCATTTAGAAACTTAGAAATAAGGCCAGGTGTGGTGGTTCACTCCCTCAATCCCAGCACTTTGGGATGCTGAGATAGGATTGCTTGAGCCCAGGAGTTCGAGACCAGCCTGGACAACATACGGAGACCCCCATCTCTACAAAAAAATTTTTAAAATTAGCCGGGCATGGTGGTGCATGCCTGTAGGCCCAGCTGCTCGGGAGGCTGAGGTGGGAGGTTCACTTAAGCCCAGGAAGTCAAGGCTGCAGTGAGCTGTGATCACACCATTGCACTCCAGCCCGAGCAGCACAGCAAGACCCCACCTCAAATAAAATAAAATAAAATAAAATGCTACTGAAGAAATATCTTTATTTCTGCCATTATTTTTGAGTTTACTTATTAAATATTTATTCCTAGAGTTAAACATTTAACATTTTTAAATTAACCATGTTTTTGGATGGCTGTAAATACCGTGTACTTTACTGACATAAAATCAGCTCTCTATAAAATGGATCTTATCTATCCCTGAAATGTGTTTATGTCTAATGCATGTATTTCCAATAGCTATGTTTGGTAATATAGAATGTTTTTATAAAAAATTATTTGACTTAGGGGCACCATGGTAAATGTATAATAACATGTTATCCTTCTAGGACCTATTGGTGAAGGGCCTTAAGTGTTAAAGAATTGGAAGCATAGTGGGTAGACTAAGCTACATTAACAAAGAGACCCCAAGTACAATAAATTAAACAAGATGGAATTTTATTACTCTTTCAGGTTAACTGTCTGGAAGTAAACAATATAGGACTGGTAAAGTAGTTCTGTTGTCTTTAAAATGTTACTTTTATCTCTGGCTCCAAGGAGGCTGCTGCAGCTCTCCTCCCCTCCCATTCAGAAGAAAGGAAGTGGGGTGAGGACCACTGGAACTCACTGCTAACTATTCTAAGAGCAAAACTAGAAGAGATACAAGTCACTTCCTGCCAAACCCCACTGGAGAGAATTTGGTGCTATGTAGCCAGCTAAAATTCTGTTACTATAGAAGAACTGGAGAATGAATTCTGGGAGATAGCCAGCAGTCAGCCACACCTGAATATTTTCAATGATTTTGTTAGGAAACTGTACAAAGAACATTTCTAAATACTCCTTAATGATTTTAATGTCCATAACTTAGAATCCCTATGTAAAGGTGGCCTTGCAGTGAGGCTATCAGTTTCCTTATTAACTCATCTGTGATCAATCTCACTCTTAATGACATATCGTATGGTGACTGGAGACGGGATTTGATTTGTTGCACCTACATCTGCCCGTTTAAGGAATCCCATAACTATATGAAAACTTTATGTAAAACATAGAAATCATTCTTAAAAATCATAGCTGTGTTCCACATGGAATTCATGAAGAAAATGCTGCTTCGTATCTTTGGAGAATGTTTGCTTTCATGTTAAAACAGAGCGAAGTCCACCTTTGAGGCTTGTGGTGGGGAGGAGATACACACCCAGACCTGTCCATGACTGTGGCCTCAGTTGTTCTTTAGATGATTTCAGCCCCTGAACTTCTGTAAAGTTCCTGCCTTTGCACCGATCACACTAGCTTTTTCGATACCCACACTTCCCTTTTGTATCTACTCATTCTTCTTTAGATTGATTTTTCTTTTTCTTTCTGTCTTTCTTTTTCGTTGTTTTTCTTTTTCTTTTTCTTTCTTTTTTTTTTTTTTTTTTGACAGAATCTCACTCTGTCACCCAGGCTGGAATACAGTGGCAAGTTCTTAGCTCACTGCAGCCTCGACCTCCCACAGCGATCCTCCCACCTCAGCCCCCAGAGTAGCTGGGATCACAGGCACATGCCACCCCACCTGACTAATTTTTGTATTTTTTGTAGAGACTGGGTTTCACCATGTTGCCCAGCTGGTCTCGAACTCCTGGACTCATGTAATCCTCCCACCTCAGCCTCCCAAAGTGCTGGAATTACAGCTGTGAGCCACCATGCCTGGCCTAGAAAGATCTTTCTATCACTAGTTGAAATGGTCTGGGGAAAAAATATGTATTTTAGAGTTAAAAGTCTGCTACATCAGATCTTAGCTCTTCTGCTTTTACCGTGGACACCTCATTAAACCACTCCTATCACTATTTTCCTCTCCCATAAGTGGAACTGGTATCAACCACATAGTGGTGGTAAGAGTATTCAAATAGACAGTAACAGCTACTGGCCTTGTGATACGTGTTTTATAGACATTTTATATATACTCTATTCATATATCTTTCCTCTGTTAATCCTCTTCATAACTCTCTAAGGTTGCTTTTATTATCTCCACTTTACACTAAAGGAAGGCAGCGCAGAGAGGTTAAGCAACCTGCCAAGGTCCTACGGTCAGTGCAGAGGATAGATTCAAACCACATCCAACTGACTTCCCAGCCTGTCCTAGACAACATAATGAATTACAGCAGTACTTGCATAGTCCCTGCCACAGGATAGGTACTGAGAAGCACTAACTATTTGCATTATCATAGGTATTTTTAATAATCAGAACAGGAAGCAAAAAGAAAGAGAAGAAATGTTAAATTCAGTGTCCTTAGGCCCAAAACCTAATTGCCCTATGTTCGGTGCCTAAGCACTCATTTTTCTGGTTCTCTTAACATATTCACCAAGTGTTTTTAGGATAGTTTAGTTTCTTTTTATGATGCTGTAAAAGGTTTATGTAAAGACCCTTCAAGGATAGGAACCACTGCATAGAATGCAGGCGTTTTCAGTTTTGAAGCATATTTATAGGAGGCTTTAAATCAACCAACTTACAGCAAAACAAATGTTCATGGGGTTAATGTCTGGATTTTCAAATGGGTACCTGAAACAGAGCCAGTACATGTACTGATACTCAGAATGTCCTTACGTGACCACCCAGGAAGCAAATGCAGATTCTGCTCTGAAAGTTTTTATGTAGCTATATGTACACACACAGACACTCCTCCCACCCACACTCACACCACACTCCTATTTCTATTCTCTGCTTGAAAAGAATAAGGAGCAGCACATTCCTAAGTTAATTTTTTAGTACTGAGACAAGAGGAAAATAATTTTGTAAAGCTCAACTTGAAATCGAAATTTTAAGTTCTAAAGTATGGGGATTTTTTTTAACTCACCCTGGGAAATCTTCTTTTTTGTTTCCAGTTCTTTTAGATCAGCCTGAGATATGGGGTTCAGGCCAACCAATTAATCCAAGCATGGAGTCGCCAAAGTTAACAAGGCCTTTTCCCACTGGAAGTAAGTTATGTGTCTGCTCTGTCTGGAAAAATAAGTGACTCATTTTAGTGTCTGTCTGCATAGTGAAATTAGGCAACTCTTAAAAAGTCTATGTAAGCAACATTAGAACTGAATAATATTAAGAAGAGATGTTATTCTAACAGGCTTTCAAGTTAAAGAACTCAGGGCAGGTTATGAAGACAGGAAGAAAATAACATAATAAAGCAAATTATTAACCTTGAATCATAGCCTTTTCTGAAATCCCACATGCTTATTCATTCATTTATTCATTGTACGTAAGTAAGAATAAGAAGCAAGGGAGCTAAAGAAACTACTGCATTCCAGGCATTAGGCTATCATATAACACAGAGGTGAACAAGTCTAATACGGTCTCTGCTCATCCTATAGAGCAACTGAGGCTGCACAGGACAGAAAGGACACATTGATAGGAAAGAGTGACAATTGGGGAACAAGAGAACTGAGGCTATATGGTAGAGAGAAGCTGAGATAGTAGATCAGAGTAAATGTATGTGAAAGTTGCCATCAGTCTGGCTTCTTCCAGCATGACCCAGGCGTCTGGGAAAGGAGGTCCTGAAGATCCAGATAGCCGTTCACCGGTGGTGGGTTGGGCTATTTGGACTGAATGGATTGTTCATCAGGTAAAGCCACCCTTCTTAAAGATTTATTGAATTCCCTTTTCAGTAGACTGCCTCTGAAGCATGCCTGTGGAAAGCACTCTTTTCAAAAAAAGGTGTTTGGGGAGGAGAGAGATGCAGAGGATGTTTTTACTCCTTTGGGCTCACATACAGACCAACCAATACTTTTTCCAGTTCAGCATCTCCAGAGCTTACGCCTTGGTGCCTAAAGGTGATCATGAGAATTAACCGCGGGGATTCATAATCAAAGGCCAAGAGGTTGTTTGTTGGAAATATTATTGCTATAAAGCCGTGTGATCTAGCCTTTCCAAAGATATTTCCCTCATTAAACAGGATAGGAAAAACATCATTATCAACAATTTTTTAAAAACTTCTGAACTTTGAAAAATGTATTTTTAAAATATTTGAACCACAGTGGCATGATTTTGAATGTTTTCCCCTGCAAAACAAAACTAGTGAAAAAGCTGTAACTTCCTTGAAAAGCTTTCTTTACAGACCTGAGCTATGCAAGTGATCCCTAGAAAACCCTTTCCTAAATGCCAAGAAAGTAAATGAATTGTTTATGGAGGTGATGTATTGGTTTTAACTATTGGTATTTCAGAGCTGTGAGTCTTACGTGCTGTGGTTACACTTAGCACAGCACAGGCTGTTGTTTAATTGATGTGCATTATATCATTCTGCTCATGTTGTAGTTGCAGCATAAGTTTTCTATTTTAGCTTATTAGGCTTTTACAGTATTTTATTTGTTTTTATGGTATTTTGTTGATTATGACCTTGATTTTTGGCAGAGATCCTTAATCAGGAGCAGAGCCCCTGATTGACTCTTAACTTCTGTGGGAAAATATGGTCCACTAGAGGTGTAGCTTTCAGAAGCTCATAATTAAGATTAAGAACCACATATTCCTAGGCTTTAGGATGAGGGTTGTTAGTCATACTTATTGTGTGGAAGAACAGGATGCTACCTAAAAATAATAAATAAAGTACGGGAAGGGGAGGAGGAGGGAGGAATGACAGAAAAAGCTTCTTCCTAATTTAGGCAAGTGGAAGGTACCAGCAAGCGCTCTCCAGCCATGTGCCTACCTGCCTCCCTCTGCGTTTAGGTTATGAGAGATTGGACGGCATTCAGATTCACAGCTAAACTTTGGGATGGCCTGTGAAATTAGTGTGAACTCTTTGAATCTACCAGATAGGACCAGTGACAAGAAAACATACACTTAAAGAAAGAGGAAGAAGAAATGAACCAGTTGAAACAGTAATTCCAAACTTTGCCCACAAAGTGACAAGTCCAGCTCAGAAGGGTGAATCTCTTCGTAGGGACCATGATACTTGATTTGGCTGTAATTTTTGTCAAAGGAATCTGTTCATTCCTCCTTGACCCAAGCAGTTAGTTTGCTTCTAACTTTAAAAAATGTACTAAAATTTAAGAAATATAATTTTGAGAAATCTTTCCCAACTCAATCTGGACACTAAGATCCTGACTGGATTAAAAACCCCTCACAGGAGCCCCCACCCAACCTGTGATTTCCGTTATCAAACCCTCGACTGTAACTGTCAGCGGACATGATTTCATTCAGTCAGTCATAAATCCCTTGAGGCCAAAGACTATTTTTATTCAACCCTATGACCCTAGTTCCTAGTACAGGAGGTAGGACGTAGTTGCTGCTTGAGGTTTGTGTGTTGAATCATATTTACATGAATAAAATGGTGATATTATTATTACTGTCCAACATTCTCTTGACGTTCTCTTATTCTCATAAAATGGAACAATCTGAATGGGTTCTGCCTCAGTTCTTTGGCTTTGAACTTCAAAGAAGTAGACCATTAATTGCTATTCCATTTCCAATAGCAGGAATATAACTGAAAGCCCAAATCCTGCTTATTTAAAGTGTATTGTATGACTTAGGAAGCACATGACCAATGATACTTAATTTCTCATCTTTTTGCAGCACCTCCACCACTGCCTCCAAAAAATGTACCAGCTACCCCACCCCGAACAGGATCCCCCTTAACAATTGGACCAGGTACGCTTTTGTTTTTTCAGTTCTGGGATGATGTGTCAAACAGAGCAGTGGCCCCGGATGAACATGCCCTTGATGTGTTGAAAACTGTAGGCTACACAAAAACATCACAATGTTGGCATTCAGTTTTGCTTTCATTAGAATTTCTTATGCAGACTTATTTTAAAGCACCACTTCCAGGTTTCACACACACAAAAAAGTAATAATTTCTCAGTTAATTTTTCCTTGGTATAATTTTGTTGAATGAGGGACATTTTGTAACACGAAATGAAAAAAATCTCAATATGAAAATTCATTGTTTAATTAACCCCTCACTTCGTTGGATCTCGTTTTAATGATTTACAAATTCATAGTCTCAAAGCACAGTTGGTATTTTTTCAAGAGAATTTTGCTAAGTCTAAAACTATCTAGTCTATGAAGACATAAAATGGTTCCCAGGGTGTGCAGCATACTGGTGGTGGGGAAATTCTTTTTCATTCAAGTATTTATTATCTCATGGCAAGGAGATATGTAAAGATTATGAAATATGGCAAGGAATTGCTACACACCTGTAGACAGATAATGCTTAAGGCACACCTTTACCATCTATTAAAATCAATACTATGTATTCATACAATTTATAGTCTGCCAAGTCTTACTGGACTAGCAAATCAAAAGTAGTAATAGCTGTTATGTGCCTGGGCCCTTAGAATGTGGTTCTTTATCACCTTCGGAATTCTGTTGCAGCTTCATCCTTTGCTATTTATGCAGCCTGGTGAGTTTGATAGCTGCAGAGTGGGGCATTCATCAACAAAAGCAAAAGCACGATGTAGTTATTTATGAAATTTATATTGACTCAAACCCAATAGAGAGTCATCCAGAGCTTCATAAGTAAAGATGTTTGCAGGTTCAAGACATTTTGGCCCCTTTTATTTCCACAAATTGTGTTAGATATAAATATACCTACTAGCACAAGATTATAAATATTGCGGACTATGCAAAATGCTTCCCCATTTATCTGTAGCCTTGGAACCTTGAAAGTTAATTCCTTTCAAGCTAGAAATATAGAAATACTAAGATGGCTCATATAGCCCAAGAGTTATATAAAGGTAAAGTGACTTCTGTTCATGCCTTCCAGTTATTTAGGTAGCAATTTGTAATGTGAATAATCTCAGTTTTTAAAAAGTGCAGTTCTTCATACAGAGCTGTAGAAGATCATTCTTAATTTTTTCTCTTATTATTGCTATGAGTTAAAAAGAATAGCTTATGCTAATATTTTAGCAAAACAGACATGTTGGTATCATGACAACATATAGATAAATATCACAGTTATGCTTATGAGGTTGACAGGTTAGACTTAATGAGAAAAGAAATTATTTAAAAATTTTTAAATTATTTTCTTCTCCATTAAGCAGGTATATATGTAACAGTTCTAATAAGTAGCAAATGCCTCCTCAATAATCTATGTGTGTGTTGTGTGTGGGGTGTATATATCTGTATTTGTAAGTATCTTTGTGGTGATACCTTCTTAATCTTTGTACTGTGTTTCTGGTGTTTTTTAAGGTTGAGGATATACAGCTAAATACGATGTGATCACTTCTTAAAATTAACAAATATTATAATCAGTTTCACCAAAGTCTTGATTTAATATACAAGAGTAGACAATCTTTATAAAATGTGAGGCCAACTTTGACTTCTCAATTCTTATATTGTGTGATGTGTATTTTATTAGGCCAGATTTTCAGAAGGGACCTTGCTTTTGGAATTTGCAGTCCCAGAGCCTGTACTTTTCTGTGAATCTAATACTGCCTTCTCAAAATGATCACACTTGGTGCACCTGTGAGCAGCCTTCGAGAGCAGTATCATGCACAGCACTTTACATGATGGTCAAAGTAGCTAGCTGTGCTCAGCTTGCAAAAAAGAGTAAACAATAGCATAAAAATATGATGCTCACTTTGTGGAGGGGGGATCTCTCCCCTCACCTTAGGCTCCTAATCCAATAAAGATATTTTTACATCATGAAGTATGCCCACTGAGGCACCTCAGACACCAATGTATTTTCCAGTCTTTGCCTCCCTCCCTCACTCCCCACACAAATAATAAGTCAATTAAAGTTTAAAATCAACTACTTTAACCACAGGAAATGACCAGTCAGCCACAGAGGTCAAAATTGAAAAACTACCATCCATCAATGACTTGGACAGCATTTTTGGGCCAGTATTGTCCCCCAAGTCTGTTGCTGTTAATGCTGAAGAAAAGTGGGTCCATTTTTCTGATACATCCCCGGAACATGTTACTCCGGAGTTGACTCCAAGGGAAAAAGTGGTGTCCCCACCAGCTACACCAGACAACCCAGCTGACTCCCCAGCTCCAGGCCCTCTCGGCCCCCCAGGTCCCACAGGCCCCCCAGGGCCTCCTGGGCCTCCTCGCAATGTACTATCGCCGCTCAATTTAGAAGAAGTCCAGAAGAAAGTCGCTGAGCAGACCTTCATTAAAGATGATTACTTAGAAACAATCTCATCTCCTAAAGATTTTGGGTTGGGACAAAGAGCAACTCCACCTCCCCCACCACCACCCACCTACAGGACTGTGGTTTCGTCCCCCGGACCTGGCTCGGGCCCTGGTCCGGGGACCACCAGTGGTATGTCTTATGCTTGAGTGTGCTTCTTGTGACGGGGAATGGCCATGGCTGCTGCAGTGTGAGCAACACCGTCCTCCTGCCTGGCAGCTGGCTTCAGAGCTTCAGCCCTCACTCCTCTAGTCTGGGTGTCCTGTGGCCCCACAGCATGTCCTAGTCCATCAGATGCTCACAGTCATGGTCCAAGTCTGTGGATGTGTTCTGCCTTGCACTCCCAGCCCTTAGGTGTGCCCTGCCATCCACGCTGCAGTTAAGAGGTCTTGATTTCTAAAACAAAGCTGTCATGCCATTGTTTGGAATTCAGGAAAGTTCTAGGAAGACAGATTTCACAGAGAGTGGGTTTCATGTTAAATGTCTGATTTCCTTGTCGGATGCCCCCACAAGGACACTAGGTTTTGTGGGCCAATGTGTTATGTGTGTATGTAGGCAAGCAGGAGGGGGTGGGTGGGCTTCTTTTTTTTTTCTATTTTTTTCTTTTCTTTTTTGGTTGTGGAAGAACCACGTTAACCCCTCTAATTTCTTTAAAAAGACATAAGGTTTGAAAAGGAGATTTTAGGAAGAAGCAAAAGAAAAAAAATGGGATACATATATTGCATCTGTAATCCAATCAAGCTGTCACTGAAGACAAACTTGATCTCTGTTCTCACCAGTTGACACACTCATCAGGCTATAGGTCAACTCTAAGTGTGGTGACAGGTGATGGACTCTATGCCAATTCTGATACTGAATTTTCTTTTGCTTATTTGAAGCTTCATTTTGTGTGTTTTAATTATGAAAGTATAGTAACACCTACCATGCATACCAAAGCAATATCAATATTTTCAAATGCATCTTCCCCCATATCATTTATTCCACTGTTGCCCAAATTTGTCTGACAACATCCCCCAGCGCTTTCCTTCCTGTGCATGTGGGTTCAGTTTAGGGGCCTTCAGGGGGTGCCATGTATTTGTTTTTCCTTTTGCTGTGAAAGAGGCAATAAAGTGTAAGGTACTTAAATCTAGTAAGAGACAGAAATTCTAATATTCAGTCATCATCACTGCCTCTTTCAATGAGGTCTTGCAGAACTTGCTCTGTGCTTGCAAATGCTTCTGTGCTTAAAGTGAGAGCATCCGTGGTGATCAAGAAGAGTGCTAGGAGTTCACCCGTACTGCACACAAAACCAGTGCTTTATATCTTTAGATGTGTATGCTTCCAGGTCCTCTTCCCCTCAAAAGGAAAACTATTCAAAATCAGCAAGTATTTTTACCATAAGACCTTTGGGAGCCTTTATTTTGCAAATAGTAGAAACCACAGTTTCTTATCCTGGGCACCACACTGTTTGTTTGTTTCTTTTCTTTTTTTTTTTTTTTTTTTTTTTTTTTTGACAAGGTCTTGCTCTGATGCCCAGGCTGGAGTGCAGTACATCTCAGCTCACTGTAACCTCCGCCTCCGGGTTCAAGCAATTCTCCTGCCTTAGCCTCCTGAGTAGCTGGGATTATAGGTGTGTGCCACCAGACCCAGCTACTTTTTTTCAGTAGAGACAGGGTTTTCAGTAGAGACAGAGTTTCACCATATTGGCTAGGCTGGTCTCGAACTCCTGGCCTCAAGTGACCCACCTGCCTCAGCCTCCCAAAGTGCTGGGATTATAGGCTTGAGCTACCGCGCCCAGCCCTAAATGCTTTTTGGCCCTAAATGCTTTTTGTACATTATTTCATACAACACCACCCTGTGGTAGATACTGTTATCTTTCCCTTTTTACAGATGGGAAAACTGAGGCTCAGAGATATCAAGTAATTTGCCCAAGTTTACAAGCTGGAGGCAATGAACTGGATTCATACTCAGGTCTGTCTGAGCTGGAGCCTATGTTGTTAACCAGTGTGCTCTCCAGGCACTTTTGTAAGGTTTGGTCATAAATATTCCAAACTTATTTGACTACTGACACCCATCTACACTGCACAGTGTCATCGACAAGATCACCAAAAGTCTTCTCTCAAAATGTACTCGTCTGTGCTCCTCTAATTCTAGAGGGTTACAGCATCCATCTCCATCCCTCTATTGTTCTTTCAGGTCTTTGAGGGGATACAAAGCTCCTTATCTACCTGTAAAGATAATAAAGAACCACTATGTAAATCCTCCAAACCACAAACCCAAAGACATTACTCGTCCGTTATAAAAGAGGGGTGTGTACTTTTATTTTCTATGCAGCTCTCTTAAGCCAGACTCTCAGTCTCCTAAAAGGACATTTAAAGAACACCCACTTCCCTCCAAGGGTAGGCCACAATGCTGTCCTCAAAGGAAACATCTTTATCAGGAGTAGAGAGGACAGGTGGCTTTGGTAATTCATCTGTGTTTCATCTAACACCTTTCATAAAGCTCTCGAAGATATTTGTTCAATTGAATTTACCACTGATCTAATTAGGAAGAAAGGAAACTTTGTTTTCTTTCTGGAATTTTTGAGAGTTTTGTTGTGATTTTAATGTTTAGCTTCCATACCTTTATTTGAAATTATTTTAAAATGTCACCAGTAAAGACTCTTGATTCTTCATAATTAAGCTGGAAAAAGCTTGACTTTACTGGTATTTAAAGATTGGATTTCTACGTAGAAAATTGAACTGGGCCACTGAAGTTTGTGAATAAATAAAACTCTGCAGTATTATCTCTTTAAGTAAGTCCCAGTTTATTTGCTGCTTAATCTTTTATTGGTGGAACATATACAAGCTGGAAGAAATATAAATTTAAGATTGAAACAATAGGGTATGGCCTCATGTTTTAAAGATTAGCAGTGCTTCTCACTACCTGCTTTTCATAACATTAGGCCTGATTAAACTAACTTTCTTGTATTTCTCGAAGCATATTTAATTGTATACCACTATGCACTCATTTTTAAAATTTTATTCACAGCAAGGTGATTGTCACTGACCAAGTATAGACAGTACTGATAACCTTGTGAATCAGAAGAGGTACCTGCTATTGAAAAGCAGTTGGAAGTTAAGAATTTGCTCCAATAACTTCAATTTCCTTATGTCAAAAGTTATAAATACCTGTTTTGGCCAGAACAGTACTTTACTGGAATGCTGGTTCTTGGCAAAGTCTCTCTTCTCCCATGTGGGTTGTGTGCCAGAGGCTGGAGGCAAAGAGTTTTGTTGGCTTGCACCATGTTTGAGGGCCAGGGAAAGAAAGGAGTAAGTAAAGAAAGAATGTTCAGTGCAACATTTTCCAACTTGGGAAACTAAAGATGTTATATGCAAACACACAGTCAATAAACAAATTAGTCTGAGCTACCTAGGGTTGAATTAACTGAATATATTTCCTAACTACAAGTCTTTTAGAGCAGCAATGTCCAATACAGTAGTACCTAGCCGCATGTGGTTATTTTAATTATAATTTTAGTTGCTTAACATTAATATAAAAAGTTCATTCTTTAGATACAGCAGCCACAATTCAAGTGCTCAGTGGCTATATGTGGCTAGCAACTATCTTATTAGACAGTTCTAGAATATTTTCACCATTGCAGACAGCTCTATTAGTAATGTTTCAGGGCTTTTAATGTGTTAGTCATCAAAAAGAGAAACATAGCATACAATCATTTACATACATATTTAGTGGTTTGTTCAAAGAAATGGTATCATTATGGTCTAAGAAACACAATTTGGGAAAGGTTGTTTAGTTTTTCACATATCTCAAAGTGCATATGTTTTAATTCACTTGATTCTCCCAGCAACAGCATGAACTATTAGCCTCATTTTGTGGATTAGGAAACTGTAGTTTAAAAAGGTAACTTAGCTGTGGTCACAAAGCTAGTAAGTAGCAGAGCCAGGTTATGGTCCCAGATCTGTTGGATTCCACGGCCTGTGCCTTGACCACTTCTCCCAGCTGCTTCCACTGCTCCAGCCCAACACACACATAAAAAAAGAGATGAAAGTTGAAGCGGTAGACACATGGTCTTCGGGGGTTGCCAAGCACATTGATTAGACCAGGTTGAGAACAACAAATGGATTGAGAGCATGTCAATCGTTGCCAACCTTTTTTAACTCACAAAACTCAGTGTATTTTGGGTTTTAAAGTTAAATCTTAAACAGTGTTGCTGTCCAAATCATTTTCCAGCATTGTTCTGGAAATAAACACTTTTCTAAGGGGGAAATGAAAATGCAATTGAAAATTGAAGAGTGAGGATAGAGATGTGCAAATGATAGCCATCTACACTCTTAAAATGTGTAACAATTGAATAATTTCACGAAAGTATGTGAAGCCTTTGTTCAGTTGTGAAATACCCCTCAGGCCCTGAACATCCCCTGCTAAGCCTCAGGGTTTGGTCAAGCAGGGTTTTAACTGAAATATCCTTTTGCTTCTTAGACATTCTCTTAATGTCGTTCTAGCTGCACAAGAAATCAATTACTTCAAATCAGTACAGAAAAAGTGATTTCAATGGGGCATCCGTAAAGGAAAACAATTAACTTTTCAATGAACAACGAACTTTTTTTTGACTTGTTAGTTGTATTTGTATCAAAAAACACAATCTTAATCATCATCACGGGTATCTACTACTTTCTATTTGTGTAGCATTTTATATAGTCAACATTTTCACAAGCATTTTCAATTAGTTACAAATACCTTGTAAGGTAGAAACAAGGCCTCACTGTTTAAAACAAGGAAGCTGAGGTTTCAGGCCAGTAGGGCCAGAACTCAAATCATCTGGTTCTTCATCCAGTGTTTTTCAATATTCCACACTGCCTTGGTGAAGTCTCCTTAGTACTTTCCCAGGCATCACTAAAAGGAGTTTAAATTTCTTTTTTCTGGAGCATGTAGGAAAAGGATAAACAGTTGGCTTTTTTTATTTTTAGATCAATTCAAAAGACTACTTCTTGGAAACAGACCTACAGATAGACATTTTGGACCTTTCCTATGCATGGTTTTCACGAAGCTAAATAGAACACCTCCTCCTCCATCAACACCAAAAAAAAAAAAAAATGTCCTGAGACTTCACTGTTTAAAGATTTATTGATCCCTATGCTGTTACTTCCGTCTTCTGAAAACATCCTGGGTGAAAATCTGACACAATAATCAAAAGAAAACTTTGTAGTGGGGCCTGTCAAAACATACCTTTTTTTTTTAAGAGAAGACTAGCCAAAGACTAAAAATATCTATATTGAGAGAGAGATGTGCAAGCCAAGCAAAAATAAGAACAGACTTTATGCAAAATGTGGGACTATACACCACAGTCCACAGTCCATCTCAAGCTATAAGAGATTGCATTTAAGAGCGTGAGCTTTGGAGGTACATACACAGTTTGAGCTATATGACCTGAGACAAGTTACTGAATATCTCTCAGCTTCAGATTCCACATAGATACCTAACAATACCTACCTCCAAAGCTTATCAGGGGAATAAGATCATACATGTAAAGTGCTTAGCGTAGACCTTGGCCCAGTGGAGAATAAAAAGTAAGAATACAGATGGTAGTGGTAGAGGAAGGTGGAGACAGAGAGGGAGCAGGGGTAATAATTAGTAGGTTTCACACGAATGTGATTACACATAGAATAAACAGCACAGAGAAACACACTCAGGATTTCAGATTATTTAAACAAGAGGAGCAAGGTTTAATCCCCCAGGGACTCTCCTAAAACACAGCAGATTTCTGAAATGATAGGTTTTGCTGCTCAACTTCAAAGCTTTTGAGAGTCTGAGAATTTGGAGACTGAGATGCTGATATAAAAACTCTCCAGAGATCCCAGTTTTGTGATGTGTTGTTTGGGAGGTGGTAAGGGGGTGGCAGGTGTGGGGGATGAAGTGTGGATATTTTCCCAGGGCAGGATTTCTTAGAATTTTCTTGGGATGATTTGAGACCTGTGCTTCTAACGGAAGTGACAAAAACCTCAGGAGTAGTCAGAACTTTTCTGAACAAGAACGGTTTGAACGTTGATTTGACTTTTTAAAGGTTTTTGGTCAAGTTTCCTTGTGTATCTCAGACATATGACTGAAGTTAGGCAGATGCCTGAATCCAGAGACCCCACTGGTGTGCTGACTGATGTGCATGCCAGCCTCTGTGTGTCTTCTGTGTTTCATACGTTTGTCATTGACAGCCAGAAAAGTAAATCCAAGAAGCTCTTTCAAAAATCGTCATGGGCAAACTCTGCATTGACAGATTCCCAAGCAGCCTCCTTCACAAAATAAAATCCTCTAAATTCAGTGCATGTCTGTTATCAAGATTCTAAATACAAAGTATTCATGCAACATCTAATCTATTTTCTCATATTTTGTCTTTTGCTTACCATCCAGTGTTTGGGTACATTGATAAAGTTGGTGCTCATAGCTTGACCACAGTCAAAAGCATAATTCTCTTAACCACATTTAAAGAAGAAAAACCTAAAATGGAAAAATCATTCATCTTCCTTCAAGTTCTAACCTCCATTTTCATCTTGGACATAAATTCTACATACATGCAAAATGCAAGAGAATTTATTATGTGTTTAATGTGTATGTGATGATAATGAAAGGTACCTACCATGCAGCAGAGAGTCTTAAGACCTTACCTCTGTCATAGAGCAATAAAAGGATTTACCTTTCACTGGGTGTCACATGACAACAAAAGGCAATGAGCTTCTACCATCAACCATAGCTGAAATCATTAATTTTTTTTCTTTATTAAGAAAAAAAAGAGAAAAAAGAAAGTGCTACAGTGTTTAGTGTAGTAACTGCCAAGGCAAAAAAAAAAAAAAAAATGTCCGGGACTGGCATTATACTGTGATAACAGCGCTTTGGCCCCCTGTGTTTCCAGCCATTTTAATGCTAGTTTGTTTTTCAGGTGCATCATCCCCTGCTCGACCAGCCACTCCTTTGGTTCCTTGCAGAAGTACCACTCCACCTCCACCTCCTCCCCGGCCTCCATCCCGGCCAAAGCTACCTCCAGGAAAACCTGGAGTTGGAGATGTGGTATGTTCCCTTCTGCCCTGGCTTGCTCAGAAACAGTGAGAATGACAAACAGAAGCTCCAAATGCCTTCAGGTCTAAGCGTTTAGAGAACTCGTACAAACAACCCTGACAGGTGGCATCTGAAAGACAGTCACTGCGGTATGAGTGTACATTTCAACCCTCCTCAAATTTCTACCATCTTTCAAGCCAAGGTCTAAAATGACAGGAATGGTACGCTTGGACCCTTACCTCTGCTACAGTGGGTTAGATACAAATGACGATAGTAACATTCATAGAAAGAGAGGTGTTTCACAGTATTTGTCTGATATTAGAAAACTCCAAGAGAGGGCAAATCCTGGTTTCTGATCCCAGAATACAGATGACATATTGATTGTAGGCACATGATGTGAATATACAGTGAAGGAGTGGTGGCTTGAGGAATTTGTTGCAGAAGTTTCTTGCCTTGTGTTTTAAGGCTGAGGAGTGGAAAACATTCTGTGTGAACAATTAAGAGAGACTTGTGGCAGAAGTAGATTTCTTTGGCATTTGCACACAGGAGTCAGAAACAAATGATGTCCATAGCATTTGGCTGGGCTAACGTCTAAAGTCGTTAGCTTTAGACGAGTATGAGTTCTCACTCTGTGTTACCTGCTGAGTCCCTGAGGGCATGTGAGTTCAGTCCTGAAACAGACCCACTGACCGTGTCACAGATCCCAGCTTCGCTAAGCTCAGCTTTAGCATGTTATGGTTTATCGTTTCTCCAGCTCCATTCCACAAACTCTCATATAGATAGAATTAATTTCAGTGTAAAAATGGTGTCATCTATTCTTCAGATACCTAAGTTGTCATATCTGGGGCTGGGAGACATTAAAAATATGGAGCAAAAATACTGCAACCTGTGTATCTAACTTTTCATCTCTTTTCTTCTCCTTACAGTCCAGACCTTTTAGCCCTCCCATTCATTCTTCCAGCCCTCCTCCAATAGCACCCTTAGCGCGGGCTGAAAGCACTTCTTCAATATCGTCAACCAATTCCTTGAGCGCAGCCACCACTCCCACAGTTGGTAAAAATTCTCTCCTCTCTTTTAATCCGTTTGTGGTTTTGACTGGCTATTTTTTATGATCTGAAATCCCCAAGGCCCTGTGTTTCTGGTTGAAATTGTTTTGCTGTGTGTTTTGCTACTATTACCTGACTCTTCTTTTAAAACCACCTTCTCAGCAAAGGAGGCAAAGTGCTTTACCTAAGCAAATGAACAAATAAAAGAACATTAACACCTGTGTTTTGCAGGAATTTTCTTATGCTGTTCCATACAGAGCTATTCAAAAAATAAGTAAGAAATCGCCAAGGAAGGTCTTGTAATTTAGATATTATTTCTTAAAATAAAAATAGTCTCCTTTGAGGGGAAATGTTTGTTTAAATTCCAACCATGAACCACATCAGAAATCACAAAATTTAGAACTTGTATTTTCTTGAAGCTTTCATTTCTTCATCATTTTTGGTTGTCCTTATGTTGACAGATGATATAAACATCGGCACTGTGAGACTTGAGCAAACTTTTCGACATTTTTTTTTCTAGTGCTTTTCAGTGATGTGTGGTCAGTTTTCCCAGAGAAATAAGCCGTTGGTGGCATTTTCAGGAAATGCCTTTATGCCTCTTTCCTTATGCTGTGACGAAAGTAAAGAGTTGAGAATGGCTGTTCAGCTGGATGGTTTTCCAAGGTTTCAATGCTTCATTTTGCCTGGAGCATCATCCCCCTTTCCAAAGCTGGTCTCTCTCTTTTTCCACCTCCCAGCAGGAGACAGGTTCCTATTGCCTCTCTCATTTTTGCATGGTGTCTCCCACCTAGGGCTTTCCCATTCCATTTTTCCCATGGGATCCCCGTTCCCCATTGTCTTCCTTTATTGTCAGAACTCCCCTCTGGCTCTTCCATAGTGTAAACCACCTGGCCCATCCCACATTGCTTGGGAGAATCGTTAACTAAAGCTAAATAACTTCCTTCTGCTACTCTCGGAAGAGCAGTCTGCCCAGTTGCCTATGTGAGAAGTAGCTTGATCAAAGCCTGAAGCTCTTCTGGAGAAAGAACTGCCTATTTTCCCAGATAAATAAGTTAAGGTGTGCCTTTTAAGGCCCCCAAAGGGAATTTCAACTATATCACGTGCCTTTATATCTTTAATCAAATCCTCCCAAAAGAACCTTTCAAGTTTGGTGAAAATAGAGCCAGTTACCTAGTTTCTTGTGAGTTACCAACAGACAGATATTTAACATTATTTATGTAGCCAAGTTTGCTCCTGTCTGCAACATCAACTGGGGCAATTTGGGGCTTCCTATCTTTGAATGCCTAGTAACTCATTTCCCTCTGTTTTGTTTGTTTGTTTCTGTAATTTTTTTAATTCTATCTCCTTAATACTCCTTGATTGCTATAAGCCATCCCCCACACTGCCACTCTTTTTCTAGATTAGTTGTTTCACCTCCTTCATGTGATTTGACTTGTCTGTCAGAGAGGAAAGTAAGAGTAAACTGTCACTCAGAAAGCTGACCCCAAGTGACCTCAGATAAACCTGTAACATGTTCTTTCAATGCACTGTGATTCATAGAGAAAATAGCACACACAAAGAATTTGAACTGGCCAAGTGCAGTGGCTCATGCCTGTAATCCCAGCACTTTGGGAGGCCGAGGCGGGCAGATCACAAGGTCAGGAGTTCAAGACCAGCCTGGCCAACATAGTGAAACCCCATCTCTACTAAAAATACAAAAATTAGCCGGGTGTGGTGGTGGGCGCCTGTAGTCCCAGCCACTTGGGAGGCTGAGGCAGGAGAATCCCTTGAACTCGGGAGGCAGAGGTTGCAGTGAGCCAAGATCGTACCACTGCATACTCCAGCCTAGGCGACAGAGTGAGACTCCATCTCAAAAAAAAAAAAAAGAGAGAGAGAGAATTTGAACTTTGTGTATGTTTGTACAATGTGTTTTTATACTCCCTGCTGCAGAAATCTCAAATCCTGGCCAGAAACTTTGATTCTTAACACATCTGGAATGGGTTCCTTCAAGATGAACCAGAGTGGGATTAAAAAAAAAATAGCCACATAAGAGGATAGTCACATTGCTTCATTACTAAGGAGCATACTGATTTAATCTGTTTGATTTTGTTATGTTTATTTGGTGTCCATCTTCCTGCTGAATTCCTCACCCTCCTGCCTCGTCTTTTCACCTGCTGTGGGTCAGCTGACAGCCACTTTTCTCCGAAGTAAATATATTGTCAAGACTGACTGTCCCCAGACTTCCTGTGCACTGCTCTTCCTCTCCAGAGAGGATGGGCTGTTCAACACCAAAGGGCCTAATCATAACTGACTTGGAATGTCAACTTAATGTAGTCAAATGGTGTGAGGGAGGTAGAGAATTTCAGCAGCAAATTCTCTGAGGTTGGTAGCTCAACATTTCCCTCCCACTGCAATACTTCTTTTTGACATTTCCTATGGTACTTGAACCAAAATTGGGGCAAATCTAAAGTAATTCAAGAACTAAAGTTTTAAGAGCAAGTCTAAACCTTCTACACAGCAATTCATATAAGAAGATGCCCCTAAATGACTTTGGATATGAAATCTCTCATGACAGCTGTGATTACACAATAGCAAATCTGATGCCACAGGTGAAAACAGGACTTTTTGTGTATTGTCACACTCGAATGAAGAAGAGCTCCTATACAACTGCCTTTTATTGAATTGAAGACACCCTCGATTGAAAAATGTACCATTATTTTTTATACGACTAAGAAAGGGGAGAAAAACTACTGGTTGAGCTAAGATAAAATGTTTTTTTATTACATTAATTATTTCAGACAGGTTATAATATGAAAAAGTGCACAGTTTAGAATCAATGAGCCAGGTATGGTGGTGTGCGGTGGTAATCTGGTGGTAATGCCAGCTGAGATGGGAGGATTACATGACCCCAGGAATTCAGGACAAGCCTGGGCAACATAGCAAGATTCTCATCTCAGTTTTTAAAAATAATAAATAAATAAATAAATAAATAAATAAAAAACAGTAATTTCTTTTGCACTAGTAAAAGCTCACAGGACCTCTACTATATGATTTGGGGGAAAATCCTATCAATATTATGAGGATAGAGAAATTGCTTAAAGTTATTCTAAGAAACAAGCACCTTGACATTTCAAGATACAGAGATAACAATAGAGATAATGAGGAATATTATCATTAAATTGTAAATATGGAGTCAAGCTAATAGAATATTTTCTGAGGAACATTATTATTTGTGGAATATTTTTTCTACCCTCATCCATTTCCTTCTCTGCATTTTTCTTTCTTACTGGTCTTTGTACAGATTTTATTCAATTTTCTGTTAAAGTTGTAATAGTATGCATAAGACCTGTGGCATTGAGTACTTTTTTAAAATCCCACATAGAGTCAAAAATCCCAATTACTTGCATTTGTTAGTTGCTGAGAAGACAGACCTTATAAAGAGCTGAATTGGTTAAAGTCCAGAGCACCAATTCATGATGTTGTGACCAATTTACAAAGACATTCAGACACAGCTGGATACCATAGACAAAGATGAAATTATGATAATGCTGTTCAAAATTAACGGTCCATAACTATCAAAGGCAGGTGCAAGGCAAATTGAATTTGGATATTGATGAGGCTGAAATGGGATAGTTCATACAGGGACCTTGGATTTATACTGTTGCTTTTTTATGGCCATGTTAAAAGCATCTACTTTCCCCATGGGAGGAAGGTGCATGCTGAGTGATCCTGTTGAGCTGTCACTGCTCTGTCAGGAGATTCTTGTTGATGGACATATGTCTGACCACTTGAGAATTGTGTTGGAGTGAAATACACTTGCATAAGTCAATTATTAATGACAGTTCCTTTAGCAACTCCCAGAGAAGGTGGGGCATGACTTCTTCCCTGGAGCTGACTTCAGACAAATTCACAGATGCTAAACCCTGGCTTTTTTTTTTTTTTAACATTTTAATTTCCTCTCATAGAATCATCACAAAATAAGAAAACACTTCTTTATATCGTAATCATAATTCCAGTGTTTTCAGTTTTGTTTCCTTTTTCCACTAAAATCATTCCTGTGTTTCAATCAGTAAAGTGGGCTTCTTGATTTCATTTGGGATTTGTATTTGTGTTTTTGTTTTCCATTCGTTTATGTTTCTTTGGTTCGTAGTGTCAGAAGACGATGTTTTTTATGACAAACTGCCCTCGTTTGAAAGGCGCTGTGAAACGCCTGCAGGTATGGTGCTAGCCAAGTGATCTCTAGAGACCTAGATTCCAAAAATCCAAGCCATTATCCATCTGAATGCTATAAACTTCATGGACATGCCCTCACCTCATGAGTGTCCAGTGCCTCTCAGATGCACCCTGTATATTTACTGTTCATCATGGAACTCGTGCCACTGAAAATTTTTAAGTGACTATATTCAAAAACAGCAGGTTGCATGACAGTTTCTCAGTGAAGAGGTTCAAAAAAGGTGAGATGCTATTGCTTTGTGAATTTACAAAGGAAAGAATAATTTAACTGCTCAGAATTACATGTCCGGTCACTGCTTTTTAATTTAAAAAATAATAGAGCATCATTAGTAATCTTGTTTTCTCTTTGATACATAGGTAAAGGGTGTTTTGTGTCTGGATGCCTAAGGTGATTCCAAGGGAGGGGATGGAAGATATGTGACATCTTCCCTGAAATTTATATTGATATGCAATGCTTTGTCATTTAAAACCTAAGCTAATGTTTTCTACAATCCATAACTCTGAGTTTATCTTTTTGGAAACATAGAAGGGGATGACATTGAAGATGAAATGGATACAGCAATTGCTGAATGACAGTTTGCCCAAATTAGTGCAGTTAAAATATGCTGACGCCCCTGCATGGCCAGGAAGACTTCTGCTCCATGCACACAAGCACCAAGTATCAAGCGACCACCAACACATTCCCATTCCTTTAGGCCTCCATAGCTTTGCTTTTGCTTTCTGTTTCCTGAACTAAAAAAAAAAAAAAAAGTGTAGATTGCCAGCCTTCCCTTTTTCCTGCACGCTAATGGCATGTAGTGCCTCCACCCTTCCCTATAGTGAGATTAATGACCTGCTCTGTAACTCACATTGTGTCCTTCTCTCTCCCTTTCCTTAACCCTTCCCATCCCGCTTCAACTCCTGGCCATACAGAGAATGAACAGCCTTCCCTCGTTTGGTTTGACAGAGGAAAGTTTTATTTGACTTTTGAAGGTAAGTAGTGCATAGCATACCAGATTCTAATTTATACTCCTCCTCATCCTTATTTCCCCATTTGCATTTCCAAATCCCAGTTCTCTTCAAAAGTTCTGGTCTCACTTTCTATATGAAAATGCTATGGCTACTTAGAAAATATTAAACACTAAAGGAAATATTACATGAATTTGGTTTGTATATGATCTTCAATTTTTTCACATTAAAAAAAGTTCAAGCTAATTTGCAGTTAATATTGGTTATTTAATTAACTATGGTCAATTGAAAATAAAACAAAACAAAACACACCTTTTTTGGCCAAGGAACTTAACTCTGTCAACCAGGGCTCTTTCCTAACTCTTTTGCAAATGCAGTGCAACAAATATAAGGACATTTTTGGTTGGTATTGGTATTTAACTTGTTTTGGGTAATTAATATTTTAGATGCAACATGCATTATTGTAAAATCTAAATATGTAAATACATTCTTATGACAAGGAATGCTGTATAAGAGATCAGAAAAATCGGGAAAAGAAAAAAAGGAGTTTATTAGTAAGTTTGTTCTGCGTCTCCTGAAATTGCAATTGAGATGACTGCAGTAAAATGGAGAACTATTGCTGGACTTGCCATTTAGAAGATTAAGGAAAATATACATAAATATAATGTCAAATATCTAACCTCATTCTTTGATCATTTGTTATATTCTGCATAAAGGGTAAGCATTCTTCTGTTTTATATTTAAGTTTTAATCATCTTAACAGGCCAGTCATTTGATTAAATGGTACATTTGAACTAATGATGGGGGAAGAAGTTAAGTAATTTAACTTAATTTATGGACCATCTTACACATAAAGATTTATCACATAAAATCCTGCTTTCTAGGATTTTAAATAGCTACATTTATCCCAGGATCAAAAGTTGGCCAAAACACATTCCACTCTAGATTTGAATCTAAATATTGAACTTGTTTTTGTGTTTCATGGCAACAAAATAGAATTTTCATAACTTGAGTGTGTGTTTTAATGCAACTTTAAAAATCAGAATGGCTGATATACATAAATAGTTTGTATAGTTGTGGCTTTTTTCTCTCAACAATAAATTTTGCTTGCAAGATAGTCATAGAGATAGAAGTTCTTAGCTAGAACTTATCCAGAAATAGCTTGGGTAGTATTAGGAAAGATGGTCTGATTTCAAATTTCTCAAACATCCTGATTTCCTGAACTAGCCTGGTCAGAAGGCAGGTGAATAAGCAGTCTTCAGGAGAGGATGTATCTTCTGCACATGAAGTCAAAGCCTTCATTGCCTTGGGTCATTAATTTTGTGATAACCAAGATGCAAAGTCCACAACTTGTGACCTCCTAAACTTTCTCTTTGAATTAGATGAAATTAGTAAGTGCCCAGGTATTTTTTACTAATCAGCATGTTGCCAAAGAAGAAACTACAGTTGCATAAGTTGGTAATCCTGAAGTAAAGCAATACCTGCATACTTAAAGGCACTTTGGTTCCATCTGGTCACACCAGATGATGCAGTTTACCTTCTTTTAACCAGGAAAGTAAACAAGGCACTTTGCCAACCCTCAAATCATTGTCTGGGCTCAACAACAAAAAAACAACTCTGACAGTTTTTTGTTGTTTGTTTTGGCTAGTGTATGTGTCAGCTTATTTGTTTATGCTTTATTGTGGACCTCTTTTGAGAGAGAGAGAGAGATCTTTTTTGAAGAAACCAATCTAAAGACATCTTTGGTTGTCTGTTTTGAAAATACATATTATCAATCAAATATAAATATTTAATAAATGTGTGGAATAACATATCACATTTTATGAAAATATATTTGTCAGTAGATGTCTGGGTATTTAAAGTTGGTAACATTGCCATTCTAATTAGTGAGACCCAAATTCCTTAAACATCTCAATTTGGGCCAAGAGAAGTCATGCAAGAAGCGTTTTAATAGAAATTAATTGGAATCTCTAGTACTGTATTATCTTAATCTTGGACTTTGTTCAAGTTTAAGTATAAAGAAGGCTTCTTGAAAGGATGTGTGAATAGCCATATCATGAATGTTGGTGTCACTGTTTCTCTCGCTAAAAAATGTTTATGCAGATACAAGTATATTCAAATGCACTTCAAGGGAAGCCTTAGAAGAAACTAAAAATGATGTCTTGCTATCTGAGCAAAAACGGCTATATTTTTTAAATGGAGATTTGTTTTCATCATGTATGTACGCTAGACTCGGGTATTTTTAGCTAGTAAAACCTAGAAGAATTTTTTTAATTTTTCTGCTGTGATGATAAAATGACATAGAAATGGTGACATTTTAATTTACCTCGAGAGTAGTGCCCCCACCTAAATTTTTATACTGCAAAAACATTTTCCTTCAACATGCTTTATTAAATAGGATTTCTAACATATTCTTGTAGGGCACTCTGGTTTTACCCACATTTGTTATTATTAATATTAATTAACATTATCTTTAATTCTTCATTCAGGGAATGTAGAAGAAGAAAGATTCCCACTTCAAAATAGTCATCAGTTCCAAATAGCTTTTCAATTTTTATTTATTGACTTCTAAATAGTATTTTTACAGTGTTCAAAACACTATTCTGTCTTGTTCATCATTTTGTTCTTACAATGCTTTAGATATCATTGTCAGTCAATGTTTGAGCTACTGATCAACCAATCAACTAAGTGGCGTATGACTTTATTTGAGGATAACATGGGTGCTTCACACTTCCAAATTTAAGTTAATAATAGAGATAGAAAAGTGTTAGTGGTTCTAATTCTCGAGTCCCAGTGCTTTTCTGAATGTTTTACTTTTAGAAACAGCTTCACTGAAATATTAATTTATGATAAAAATTCTATTTATTTTAAGTTGGGAAAAAAACAGTAAAGATTGCAAATGGTGATGACTTTTTTTTTTTTTTTTTGAGACGGAGTCTCGCTCTGTCGCCCAGGCTGGAGTGCAATGGCTCGATCTCGGCTCACTGCAAGCTCCGCCTCCCGAGTTCACCCCATTTTCCTACCACAGCCTCCCGAGTAGCTGGGACCACAGGCGCCCGCCACCACGCCCGGCTAATTTTTTGTATTTTTAGTAGGGATGGGGTTTCACCGTGTTAGCCAGGATGGTCTCGATCTCCTGATCTTGTGATCCACCCGCCTCGGCCTCCCAAAGTACTGGGATTACAGGCGTGAGCCACGGCGCCCGGCCCAAATGGTGATGACTTTTTAAATTCATCAAAGACTGTATCCTATTGAAGCTATCAAGTATTCTGAGGTGGGAGGGCAAGATATTTTCATGACAAATATTAAATAGAAGATATGACTGTTAGCTATTTGAGCAATTCCCTAGAGTATTTGAACATCAAGATGTTTCCAGAAATGTACTGCACTTCTCCTTGGTTAGCTTTTTTAACTACAAAATCATCTCGTATGTGGTGGTGAAAAACAAACAAACAAAAAATCTGCTACCTTAAGTACTTAAGTGGCCTCGTGTAGGAATATAAGCTCTGTCATCTACTCATATAGCCTCTTACATCTCACACACTCTCATCTCTAGACTCTCTGCGCTCCTGTTTACTCGTCTTTTCCCATCATTCCCACCAGGAATGCCACATCCCTAGCAGTACCCTTTTCTACATTTCAGTCTCTCAGCTGAACTTGCCCACGTGTTTCCTGACGAAATCCTGACTCTTAGGAGCCATCACTTCCATAGCACTCTCTATGGAGACCTCTCTTCAGTCTTCTGTGGATCGTTCATCATGGGACTAGGAGGCAGTGTTTGGATTCTCTTAGCTCCCTATTGCTGCTTCCAAAGCCTTCCTGATTGTGAGAGCAGCCGTCTGATAATTCCACCCTCTTCCACTCCTTATTGCTGTTAACAGTTGACTGCAGAGCAGTCCTCTGCATTTATCTTAGAGGTGCTGGCAGCTTGCGTGTCATCCTCTGTGCCACCTCACTTCCCAGCATCATCCTGTGACATAGAGTGTACGTGTGTGACCTGTCTCACATGCTGGCTCCAGGGCCTCTTGATTTTTGCTCCAAGAAGCTTTCTCTCCACTTTACTCGGTACTCCACACCTCTGGCCACATCCTGGAAGTCATTCCCCTGGCAAGTCTCATTTCAGCTGTTTCATCATTAAGAATTTGTCACCCTTTTTGTACACCAGGGACTTTATGAAGCAATATTCTTTCATTCAACAAATATTAAGTGACTGCCTGCTGTGTACTAGCACTGTCCTGGGCACTCCTTACTAGTGAACAAAACAGAAAAAATACCTGTCCCCACAGAGGTTATGTTCTACTGTGGAAAGTTAAAAAGATAAATAAGTAAAATATATATAGTATGAATATTGTAATGAGTTCTATAGGAAAAATAAAATAGGAAAGGAGAATGGAGCATAGTGAGGGTTGCAGTTTTAAATTGGGGAATTTGAGGTTGAAAAATGAAAAATAAAATAAAAATAATAATGAATATGAGTAACTAACATCTGAGTATTTACCATGTGTAAAGCAGCCTCCATCTATTATCTTATTTCACCTGCACAACTCACTGATGCAGAAACTGAGATTCAGATAATGTAAGTAACTTTCACAGGGTCACACAGTCAAAAGAGACAGAGTGGTGGAGCGCAGTGGCTCACGCCTGTAATTCCAGCACTTTGGGAGGCCGAGGCGAGTGGATCACCTGTGGTCAGGAGTTCAAGACCAGCACAGCCAACATGCCGAAACCCCGCCTCTACTAACAATACAAAAATTAGCAGGGCATGGTGGCACGTGCCTGTAATCCCAGCTACTTGGGAGGCTGAGGCAGGAGAACTGTTTGAACCTGGGAGGTGGAGGTTGCAGTGAGCCAAGATTGCACCACTGCACTCCAGCCTGGGTGACAGGGTGAGACTCCATCTCAAAAAAAAAAAAAAAAAAACAGAGTAATGATTCAAACTCTGGCCACCTAGCCAGAGGTCACTACCTCACCCTACTGTACATACCTAATCTCATTCAGTCCTTGCAACAAAGGTTTTGCCCTAATCTTCTAGCCTTCCAGCTCTCTAATTTCCTGATACTACACCTTATTTTTCCCTTTTATTTTTAGATGACAGCTAATAATTGTCCTATTTATAGGATACCAAATAATATTTCAATACATGTGTACTATGTATAATAATCAAATCAGAGTAATTAGCATATCCATCATCTCAAATATTTATCATTTTTTTGGGTTGTGAACATTCAAAATCCTCTTTTTGGAAATATACAATAAATTATTGTTTTCCCTATTTACCATACAGTGCTATAGAATACTAACATTTAGTCCTCCTATCTAGTTGTAATTTTGTACCTATTAACCAGCCTTTGACCCCACTGAGACCTCTGTCCTCACGTTCTTCCTGTTCTCAGTCCACTAATCCAGGTGGAGATATTCAAGTTCTTTTCATTATCCAGATGAGACCCCAGAGAGGAAAAATACGTTTCTGAAAGGACCTTAATCATTTACATAATAGGAGCTACATTTTTTCTTTTTGGAGTTATATTATCTCTGTGAAAAAAATAAACGCTTGGGCATTTTAAATGTCTGACCTTCTTAAGCAGGTTATTAAATACCCCTACTTAGTCATTGGCAAGTCACAATTATAGTCATAGAGCATTCGACTTTCCTTACCCTGACATAGCAATAAAGTAAGAAATGAACTGGTCAAATTTCTCACATGCAGCCACAAAGATACTAATTCATTCATTTGAGAGACACTAAAGGAAGGAAAATTGGAAGATATGACCAATTTTCTGGGGAGCAATGGCTATGCTAAATTCACATTATTCTTAAGTGGGAGGTGTTTGCTAATAGCACTTACCCCACTGAAGGCCCCTTTCAATCAATAACAGGAAAATTATTAAGTACCCACTCTGCAAATCACAGCATTAAGTACCAGGTTGGGGAAACAATACAGAAACATTAAAAGCAGTTTTACAAGACTGTCTTCATTAGAAATATTAAAACCACGCTCCTTAGCTATTCTGAGTTTTTATATATGGACTGTATTGTCTATCTAAAATGAAAAATTCATTCTATTAAAATAACTGAAGGTCACAGAGAGTTTTTTTTAATAGCCTCAACCTGTTAAGAAGATTAAAGTGGAGCTGAACCTGCAAAATCTTCTATCAGGCAGTTCTGCCGAGGATTTCAGTAGTACACTTTACCTCTTCATAATAAATTAGTTCCCTGGTTCTGAAAATTTTGACATTGACCAGCATGATGATCATACTTGGTTTCCTGCTCTTTGAGACAGTTGTCCTGTCTCATTCATGATTAGTGTACAACTGTCATGCTGATGTTAGAACAGAAAGCCAGCAAAGTGTCCCCTGTTTCTGGCCTGAGGTCTAGGCCAAAATGGAAGGAATAGGCTTCTAGAGAGGACATAAATGTACAGAATTCATGTTAGAATTCTACTGATGGGAAAGCTGGAGAGCAGGTGTGTTACCTTCTATTCCAAGCATGTCACCATGCAAGGAGTACCTAGTTGGTGAAAATATCATTTTGCTTGGATTCAGCATATCTGGGGTGCTGCTGTTTTTACCAGTAATGCTGATGCAGTGTATCGCTGATGAGCCCTTAATACGGGCTACATTCTGAGCTAGCTACTCCACATGCACAAGCTCATGTCATTCACACAACAGTCCTAGGAAGTGGGTACTATTGTTAATCACATTTTACAGATGAGTAAACAAAGGCTCTGAGCATTTAGGTAACTTTTCTGAGATTACACAGCTAGTTGGTGGTTAAATCAGTTAGAGGGGAGTTATTGATAACACAGCTAGTCAATGGTTAAATACGTTGAAAGGGAGTTACTATTATGTCACAAAACTGATGTTCCTAACCACTATGCTACTCAAGTCTTGGTTGTGCCACTCAATAACCACGTGATCTTGAGCATTTAATGTCTCTGGGTCTCTGTTCTATCATTTTTAAAATGGAAAGCATAATACCCACCTGGCAGGATAATTAGGAAAATTGATAAGATGCATTGTTTTTGTTTAATAAAGTACTATACATATGAAAGGTTTTAAATTATCCATGCTTTGAAGTTGCATTCAAATTAAAGAAGAATGAAAGGAAGAGACCAAGAAGGTATTGCATCCAAGATGCATTTGTTTCTCATTTCTGGTAACTTCCTGGTCTCTAAAGTGGCCTCTTGGGTGTCTGGTGGTGACTATACTTAGAAGCTTCTTGTATCTCTATCAGACTCACTGATAATGTAGTTTCTTCCTCTTATGGCCATAATGGTCCAAAACACACAGTTGTTTCTGAATATGTCTGTCATACAAAGGCCAATAGGTTTAAAATAGATAAACATTGGGCAACATTTGCTTTGCTCAAGATTGAAGCCTTTCACTCCCCAGAGAGGAATGGAACCCTGAGTGTCAGCTGCACTTCCCTGGGTGCAAAAGTAGATTCTAGAACAGGACTTCTCATCTGACTGGAGTAACCAAATGGGGAACTAACAAGAACAGCGGAAAGTCTTGAGCCCCACAAAAAGAAGGGTTGCTATGCGTGGACAATTTTAAAACCTGAAGCATAAGTTAAATAGTTCCCTGGAGCAGGAAAATGAGTAACAGAATAGAAAAGTTAAAGAATATTCACTCATTTATTTTTGCATTCAGTGCTTCACAACCAGTCCATGAGCTCTTCTAGCTACAAGCCCTTGTGCTGGAATTATGGAGGTGAAATAATAAAACTCCTGCCTTCCAGTAATTCACAAGAAATAGAAGAATAGAAGAAAGAGAAGAGTTCGGCACTTCCTATGCAAAGCATCCTGTAGCAAAGGCAATGGTAGAATTGCAAAAATGTTCTAGTAGGGTGATGGAAGAAACGGGAGCAACATTTATACCTACATAGACTCTACCCTGAAGCAATATAACATGTTGCTATGTTAGAGTCTAATAGAAAATCTTAGGTGATATGTAAATGTTAACCTAAGGTATGCTTGGTATTATCCTAGTATTAGAAAGATTCCTCAATTAATGCATATCCATTTGCTCTCAGTACACATATACATACATATGCACACACACACACACACACATATAGAGATAATAGAGAAAAAGATATGGAATATATATATCATATATATGATATGATATGTATCACACATATATTCTATATCATATGTGTGATATGTTGACATACTGATATAGCATACATACTATATATTGTATATCAGCTATATCACATTTATATATGATCTATATCATATATATTATATATGATCATAACCTACAGTATGATATATATCATAGGTTTTCATATATGATATATAATGTTTTTGTATATGATATATATGAAATATGGAATATGAATGATATATGGCATATCATAGATATTTCATATCACATATATAAAGAGAAAAAGAACTCTGTGTGTGTGTGTGTGTGTGTGTATGCGTTTATGCATGAGCTCTGGAATAAGCCTTCTAGATCTTAGTTATAACCTCAGCACAATGTGTGACTTTAGGCAGGTTACCTAACCTAAGACTTAGTTTCCTCCTCTGAAAACTGGAATAATAATGGCAGCTCTTTCACAGGGCTGTGGTCAAGATTAAAGTCAAACACTTAGTATAGTGCATGCAAAGCACTCAAATATAAGCAACTGTTGTCCAACTTCATGCATCCTCTGCTTGTAACATGGCTGTGTTTTACTTAGTTCTTGCCTGCTTTGGAGAAGTTTCAGTTGTGGCATTCTTGTCTTCTTCCACATAAAAATCTGACAATTTGATTCTGCTGAGAGTTGCTACATGGTCTCCCTTCCTTGTCAGCAGGGATGATAAGCAGTGTTTTCTCTGCTGGTACGGAGCAAGACAATGATTTGGAAGCATCATGCCACTGCGTTGCTGTACACCCTTTGCCTCTACCAGAGCCCATTATTAAAGCTGACTTGTTGAGACTAATGGTCTGCCTGCCAGTGTACTCCTGGGGGTTCTGTGTCAACACTGATGGGAGATGTGGCAGAAAATCTTTTATCCTCTCTTTTATTAAAGGATTTGTAAATCATAGCATTTCTGCCAATTTGACATATAATTTCAAACTTCCTGAGAAAAGAATGGAGAAGCTGAGAATTCCAGGGGGAAACTGCTTCATCTTTGGATGGTTCTGAGCCTTCAACATGCAATCGCTGGCTGATGACCTCTATAGCGTTTGTTTCTATTATGTCTTTTGAGAAGAGCTGTCCACAGACTTTGGCTGCCTACCCTATTTCAAAATACTGTTCTTATTAACCTCTGACATAAATGAATGAAGAAAGTATACTAGTGATTCAAAGAGATTTTATTAAGACTCAGGAGAATCTCCCACTTATAATCCTTTTTATGTGTCTGCTGTGGATATATTTAATCAGCACCACATATACTCCAAACAAATTTTAGACAATTACTTGTGAAAGGCTTTTGCAAACTATAAAGTACTATTCAAAAGTAATCATTTCCTAAGATAATAGTTAGTATTAATGAATATTTAATATGTGCTAGACATGTGCTAAGAATTTTATATTAATTGCTTCATTTATTAAATCAAAGATTGGCTGAGAGACATTAACATAAGGCATTAACATAAGTCACTGTCCTTAAGATTTGAACCTTTTTATGTCTTCAACTATTCTGCACTGTGTGTGTAATCATTTCTGCTACAGCGTGGACTGTCAGCAGACAAAAAAATTTCATGGACTTTGTGTTCTCTTCTGCTGACTTTGCCGTACCAAGTCACCAGGACACAAGTAAATATGGCCTTGGGGCTTCTTTTCTTGCTGACGCATATTCACACAGGCAGCGTGTGCTGTGTGTGTTTACAACTGTGTTTCTTAGTCTTCTATTCAGAGTAATAACAGCATGACTTCCCCTAAGATCTGATTCAGAGAATTGAAATATGCCCTGAGAAAACATAAGAGGTTTTTCTGGAGAAGTGTCCCAAGGGTAATATTAATTGTTCAAGGATGTTTCGGAAAAGTTGCAATCATCACTGTGGCAAATGAATCTAGGGAGAGGAAGCATGAGTTATTTAATGTCAGTTACTCCTTTCCTTAGGTTTTTGCCTTTTTTTGGACTTTACACACAGCCCATTTGCTATGAAACTAGCAGCTCAAATAGCAGGCTTTCAGGCAGGCAAACAATGGCAGACTGCATTCTTCCTACTTCTCCAATCATATTTATCAGTCCCATTGGGAGAATAACTTTCAGTAGTGCTCAAAATTACCAGCATCCAATTTGTAACTGCAAGGAACCATTCAAGAAATAAACACTTCAAGAAAAGAAATAAACCATTCAAGGAAAGAACACTTATGGGTTCTCACTCATAAGTAGGAGTTGAACAATGAGAACACATGGACACAGGGAGGGGAACAACACACACTGGGGCCTGTCGGGAGTTGGGAGGCAAGGAGAGGGAGAGCATTAGAACAAATACCTAATGCATGTGGGGCTTAAAAACTGGGTGACGGGTTGACGGGTGCAGCAAACCACCATGGCACATGTTTACCTATGTAACAAACCTACACATTCTGTACATGTATCCCGGAACTTAGAGTAAAATTTAAAAATAAATAAATAAATAACAAAATGTTTCTGAATTCCAGTTATATTAAAACAAAAACAAAACAAAACAAAAAAACTTCTTCATTACTTTGGTTCACAATTTATTTCTTTTTAATGAATTACTGTTTTTGGTAAAATCTGAAATGTTTTTGTTATAATTTGCTTCTTGCTATCAAACCATTTATTTTAATTTGGTCACTCATCTTTATTACCTTTATCTCACATTTTCATCAAATATTTTTAATTTTGAATATATTTTATATTATACATAAAATATAAACTATATATTATATAATATGTAAAATATAAATAAATATTTATACTATAAAATATATTTATATATTTATAATATAAAATAGTTATATATAAAATAAATATATATGATATAATTTATATAGAGATACACATTTATATATAATATAAATTATAAATATTTTAATAAATATTTATGACAGTTGATATTTTAATCTAAATATTATCTTTTCTCTTTAATAAATAAATGTAAAGATGACAAAAGAAAAAAGAAAAAGGAAAAATGTAGAAATCTCAATATTTAAAATTCCAAAGTAATTATCAATATGTACTTATATTTTTTCCTCAGTATGAAAGTAACACATACACATTATAGAAAACTTGGAAAAACAGAAAGGTATTTTTAAAAAGATCTATAATCAAATAGCTGTAGATGACCACTATTATCATTTTGATGTTTTTCAGTTCTGAGATTTTGCATGTGAATGTGAGTCTGCGTGTGTGCATGTATAGTTTATATTATCACACAGTGTATAATTATGCATCCTTTTATTTTAACATACGCTAATATTCCCTTTGACACTTCAAAGTATTTACAAATAGCTCACAGTTGGCTTTATTGTGATCATGACATTAATTTAAGCATATTATTACTTTTAAAAATTCAAATATGGGAAAGTATAAATAAAAGAGTAAATATCACCCCAAAATCACACTATTCAGAGAGTAGTAGAAATAACATTTTTGATGTTTTGGTGAAAATTCTTGATGAAACCCTGTCTGCATGTATCTACACACACACGCATGGGCACACATACACACACAAATATGTGTGCTGCATTTACTTGATCCCAAGAAGCCATACACTGGGTTATGCTCCATTGTTTTCACAACTTTTTGGGCACGAAATAAACTTTGTCAAGTGTAGAAAAGCATTTTTTTTTCTAACCAATAATAATAGACAAAGTGCTGGCCACTATCTTCAGTATAACCATCAGAAACTGAGCCTAAATCTATTTCATATTCAGAATCTGCAGACACATCTGAATCACTTCTGGCCATCAGCAGTTACAATTAATATCATAGTGGCATGATGATTTTTCTATACCACATATTTATAACCTTGACCTCTTTATACTCTTTGCATTGATAGTTTAATTTTGTGACACATCAAAAATTCCAGAATTTTATCTGCATTAGCTTTCCAGAATTTACTTATAAATTATTGCAAAGTAAATAATTTCCTTGAAAGTCAACAAGAAATTTTTGACAGATACAGTTATAGCACCTGAGTGTTCCTTTAGGATGCATGTCAGTCATAACCTACTTGTTTCATCTTTCAAAATTCTGTATCTTAGATTCCAAAGAATGTGACAGTTTCTCCCACCAGCAGTTGCATAGTCTGGTAGATGACTGTTAATTTTCCAAGAGAGTTGATGAGTTGTCCAGGGGCATTCACATCTTTGGCCCTTTTAAGCCTGTAGATTAGTGCTTCTCAAACTTTTTTTTCATTATCCCTCTTTCCTTGCCCAGAGAGCCTCTGTTAGACCTTGTTTTTCCCTAATTGCTCCCCAAGTCGAATTCTAATATCATAGAGGTACTGTACATCTGGTCATGTGCTATATGTATATTTGTGTGCTTTATATATTTAACAAGTAAGATTTCTTTCACCTTCCCCAAAGAACCAATTTTTATCCCCTTTGGGGTGATACTTCTGCTTTGAGAATGCATGCCATGCCTGCAGCTAGATCTCGGATCACAACTTCCTAGGATGTAGGGGCAAACATCTTTAACACAGGGTAGGGTTTAAGAATACAATGGAAGTTAGACCTGGTTTTCAGTCCCAGCTCCCCTACTTACTATAGAGCAAATTACCTTGAGCAAGTTATTTAATTTCACTAAGGTTTAATTTAAAAGAGTGTACCTCAGAGAGATGTTTTGAGATTAGAAGACATGAGGCATGTAATGTGTTTAGCACAGCGGCCATCGTATACAAGTGCTTTACATAAATTAGCTTTTGATATATTTATTCATATTCTTCATAGTGCCATGCTATAGCTGCCTGTTTCCAATGCTTGATCAAACTCTCACCACTGTCTATGTGAAAGTGTTTAAAATTTGGCTGTATGAGTCTTCATACTAAGACAAAGAAAATCCTAAGTTTTTAGACTGAGGAAATCAATTTGAGCAAGTGTACATTCACTTTTCTTTCATTTGTATTATGACTTTGTCTTCTGTCTTATGTTCATATTTAACAATAGTATTTTTGTTGAATACATGTGTTCTGACTTGGATAATAAAAAGCAAGTATAATATTCTCATCTTCTGAGTCAAACATTTTAGGAAGTTAATTCAATTGGGCATTAATTTTGGATGACAGTTTAGGTGCTCTAGGCAAAGACCCAGGTTGAAGAAAAATTCTCTACAAAACATGAAGAAAAATGTCAATTGATTGTATGTTCCTGGACTGAGCAGAATTTGAAAAGCAAAAAAAATATATATGCACATGACATACATATATAACCAGGGCAAGTGAGCAGAGACTTATGAAGAGGAAGACTGGAAATAACTCTAATCCTATTTACATACTCAGAAATCCAGTACTCTCAGTTCTACGCTATGAGAACTGACTTTCTTATTTATTTATGTATTTATTTTGGGCATCCATGCATGTTTATCAATCATTCGAATTTTTTTTTCTGTTTGTTTTTGTTTGTTTTGTTTTCTTTACTGTTATACTTTAAGTTCTGGGATACATGCGCAGAGTTCTGGGATACATGCGCAGAACGTGCATGTTTGTTACATAGGTATACATGTGCCATGGTGGTTTGCTGTACCCATCAACCCATCATCTACATTAGGTATTTCTTGTAATGTTATCCCTCCCCCAGCCCCCCACCCCCGACAGGCCCCAGTGTGTGATGTTCCCCTGCCTGTGTCCATGTGTTCTCATTGGAGAACTGACTTTCTTAAGTACACTTTCCTCATTTTCATGAAGGAGAACATGTAGCACTCTGAAAAGCATGTAGCAAGGATAACTCACCCAGTGCTACCATGGGTAAGGACGAGGCCTATGGGGCTCTTATATGGAAAAGTGTGGAGTCAAGTGAATCTAGATTTGAATTCTGACTCCACCATTTACTGGCTGCAAAAACATGGGTAAACGGTTCTCTCCTCTCAGACTCAGTTTCTTGATCTATAATATGTAGTAATGCCTATCTGGACACATGGTTGTAGTCATAATTAAATGATGCATTATGTGTAAAGCATAAAAGACAGTACCTAGCTCATAGCAAGTACTCAATAATATTGTTCCTCCCCTTTTGAGGTTTGCCCTTTTTCCTCTGTATTCTCACTCAGCAGGTCAATTGGTGCTACTTACCTCAGGACAGGAGAAGCCAAGGCAGCACTTAACAGAAGCTTCTTGACTTTTTTAAGCTTCAGTTTGTCAGCTGTAAAATGGGGATAACAATACATCTTTCTTAAAAGTGTGAGGATTTAATAAGGGAATGCATGTGGAACACTTAGCACAGTCCCCAGAATTCAGAAAGTATATGTTCTTTTAGTTCTCATCGTAGCATTATTATTAATTAGATTAGGTGATAGTATAAGACTATCAAAACACTCAAGAAAACATTACATAGAGATACATTTTTATATGCAGCATGCACACACACAATTTACACACATATAAGATATATTTTATATAATATTTTATATAATCTAAGCCAACTACAATCATAATATTCCAAGATTTAGAGAAAAGGGAAAAAATTAAAAATTTATATGTAGTAACTTTATTTTGACTTCTTTTCTCCCAAACCTATTCTAAACATTTTTGAAAAGTTTTTGCTATCATAAAAAGTAACTTTATTAATCATCACTTCAGCTAAGATTCACAATGTCACAGGAGCACACTTACCTTTTCAAGTTAAGCTCTCATGATACAGTTCTTTCTACTGAACTATATAGAAAGAATTTCTACATTTCTTTTTATTATTTCCTCATTTACTAAATGCATCTGGTGCTGAGGAGAGCCTGAAACTGTATGTTACATGACACGACTGTAAGGCAAATTCTTCTTCACTGCTAATGATAATGGCTGCCAAGTTATCGAGTTTTTACTGTGTGTCAGGTACTGTAATTTACATAAACTAATGAAACTCTTTGTCCCAGTGTTCACTATTGGTCACCTTGCAGTTACTGGATTCTGAAGACAAGCAGAGACCACAGCAACATGAAAGTATTTACTTATAACCTTAGTCCTCATTCTGATACACTTTTTCCCAAATTAACACTAGTGTCCATCCCCACCCATTACATGAATGCAGAACCCAATAAATTTTCCCATAAACATCTGGTCATATAAACAATGGATATACCATGCAAATACAGTGCATATTTATTGCAAGTGAAATTGCCAGTCTTAGGAAGGATATAGGATTCCATGAAGTCAGTGAAACTGATGATGTAAAGCTTTTCATCACACCTAAAGTCATTGTCAGTTTAGAATTTAACAGAAATTAAAATTATTAATTACTAAAGAAGAGGGAAAAACATAAGCTTACATCAGAGCCACTTCAAAAGAAAGACAAGAAACTAAGAGACCCTCGGAATAATGTATAAAACTCTCAATTAATTCTGCAATAATGGCTCCATTTATGATCTTGAATCAAAGCCAAACCTAAATCTTGGGTGGTGTGTAAAGCTATTAACATAATTTTATCAGAAAAATATACCCTTCCCAAAAATATCAACACAAACTATTTTTATTCATTCCAAGAACTCAATTATTAATGTAGCTTAAACTTTGTTAATAAAATATCCTTTCACAACTTTAGTTTATGACAGCTTAGAATCTTAATCAAACCCTTCTATCATTATGTACTATGAAATTTTAGTATCCATTTAAAGTACCTTAATTGTTAAATGATTTCTCTGTTATTGACTATCCTCAAATAACAAGAACATAGAACATCCTATATCATCATATTTAATCCTCCCAATGTCTGTAAAAGGTACTATCTTCATTATACAACATGATGAAGCTGAAACTCAGAGAGGTCAGATAATTTTTCAGGGTCACAGGGTAAGGGTAAAACCCAGATTCAAAATTAATTCAATCTCTTTCCAACATTCTTTCCCTTTGTCACTGCATTATGTATAACATATTCTATAAATTACTGTAGAATTGGGTCTCATTTATCTTTTCCTAATTCTAACTAATATAATCAGCTTTTAAAGAAAAAGCTAGTCTAATTTTCACTCTTTGCTGCTTCATACATCTTCTGGAGCGTCGTCTGTCTTCTATGCACTCTGAGACTTTCTGATGTCTCCATCTGTTGGTTATATCCCTGCATTGTCATCCCTGGGCATAAGGGTCATTTGCCTCCTGCCTGCAGCAGATCTGGTAGGGTGGGCAGTTGTTTGGCCTGATAGCCTGCAAAATGGGGACAGTCTTTAAACAAATCAGACCACTCTCTCCTGCTGCCCATGCTTCAGATTGTGTTTTCAGGGTGACTGTTTCCAACCTCAGATGAAGAGAAGGTAAAATATGCAGTTCTTATGGCATCTGGCATTAGTGGTGCAGATCCTTCCTTGGATAAGATTGAGAGCACTGGTATTATTGTCCTAATTTAGCAGAGGTGAAGCTAGAATCATTGACCAGCTCAGGTCAAATATTGAAGAAGCACAGTCAAGACTGAAGCCTACACCCTCTGACACCCTCCTAGACTCCTTATTGCAGATTTTTGTTATCTGAATTTAAGCAGGTTACTTAAGCACTCTAGCTTTCCCCATCTGTAAGAAAGAGACGTTTAAAATAGCACTTACTTGGTGAGATGGTGGTGCAAATTAAGGGAGATAACACATGTGAATCATTGCACAGAATTTGAACACATTACATAATAGATACTACCATTTATTGTTAATTTTGTGACAAATGCCACAACACCCCTGAGGGAGCCACTAGTTTGACATAAATTCACATTAAATGTAAAAACCACTGAAAATACGTTGTCTTCATGAGCTGGCTTTGATGACAGAAAGTGCTAAACTTCAACATTGCAAAGTGGAAGAGATTATACGGAAAATGGAGAAAGTGCACAGGAAGGGGAGACTGGCCTGCCCGAACGCAGGCTTGCTCACTGCACATGATTGGCGGAAGTGCATAGGAGGCAACCTGATTAAACTCAGGAGGTAAACACTCCTTTATTTATAAAGGAAACCTTCTTATACTTGTATTCAATTTCTGTACCTGTGCATTTTGCTTTTTTTCTCTTTCCTCTTTTTTTTCTAATTTTTTCTTTCTCTTCTAAAAAGTCTCTTTCTCTTCTTTAAACACTTACATATACAGTCTGTTCTCCTTCCCCACGTTCATTTTTCATTTGTCTTCCCATGAAATGCTTTCATAAATTAAGGACCTCATCTTTTAAAGATGTCAGATGTCATACTTCTGTTAAGAATTTAAATTATTTTTAGTCTCAGGCTGTCTACATGTGTACATCTGTGTGACCTTGCTTGGTAATGAGAGTCACAGAAAACCGCCTTTCAGAAAACACACAGTCACACACTGGTGACTCTCTGTGCCCTCTTCCATTCCTCAGAACCCCCTCAAAGTGTGCATGTCAATTGCTTCCCAGTACTCTGGAGATGCTTTTTTGTCGGAGGTCCACAGACTAATGGCAGCAACTCATCCTTCTAGGGGGTATCACAAACACGTTATCAGGTTCCTAAGATAACTCTCTCCTGACTTCTATGCTCCTTGAGCAAGGTAGGGAGGAGGGTGGCATCCAGAGTCAGTCAGTGCTTGGTTTGCATCACAGTTCTGTTTTGATTGTTTACTTGCCAGGTGACAATGGCAAGGCTATTGAATTTCTTGAAACCTCCATTTTCTCATCTGTAAAACAAGGGCAAGAATGCTACTTACCTTATAGCACTCATAAACTTACCTTATTACCAGGATTAATAATTAATATAAGTAAAGTCCTTTGAATAGTGGTTGGTATGCAGTAAGAGATAGAAATTTTCATTGCTACTACAATTACCATTAAGAGAGCCAGAAAATCTAGGATTGAATTTCAGCTTCACCACTTACCAGCAGAGTTACTTTGGGCTAGAGATAATGATACCTAACCTGTGTACACTCCAGTGTACAAAGAACATAAAGCCATATTAGTGTTTGATTTTTGTTGTTATTGAAGGACAGACATAAAATCCATGTCAATAAATACTGCCTCCATTGAATTCTTTGTAAATTATTATTAACAGCAATAATATAACAATTACAATATTAAACTGTTCTCTAACTTCATGTAGTGTTTCATTTGTAGTTAATATTATAATCCCCTTTTATACAATAAACTCCATAGGGGGAAGGATATGCCTCATACATTTCTCTGTATCCCTCGGCACCTAGCACAATGTCTAATTATTACAGGAACTCATATTTTAATAAATTAATTATGATTATTCAAATAATTTGTTTATTTGAATAAAATAAACATGCATTCAACCAACTTTATCTCCTATTGACACAAGTATTATCAAGCCACCAAAATCAATATAATAGCCACCTATGTGATATGTGAAAAATTAGGCACACATGCGCAGATTATATGATAGAATTTTAGTGATGGAAGGAAGCTGAAAGAATTCTACGCTAACTCCATGCTCAGTGAAGAATTCTATTTGTTTTGTATCTCCCTTTGTTTCTGCCTAAAAACCTACTCAACTTCAAAGAACCAACTCTAATTCAACAACCTCAGTAAAGCTCACCCTGACAAAAATGACAGCAACAAAAACAATAATATTAGTCATATGTTTTCAAGTACATACCATGTTAAGTACTTCACAAATGCTATCCTACTTGATGTTCACCATGCGCCTTTAACATTGATACTATCTTTATACCATTTTAAGATGAGGAAACTGATTACAGAGAGATTTAAATACATTGTCCCTTGACATACAGATGGTAAGCCAAAGAGCCAGGATTCACACCCAAGTCTATATGACTCTAGAGTCCAGGTTTCCTTTATTAAATCAACTAATAGCATCTGCTTTACCACTCATTTGGTAATTAATCTTTCAGTGAAATAATCCCATAATGATGTCACTTGAACTATTGTCTTACCTAACCTCTTGTTGGCATACATTATTGTTATTTAGTTTTCCATATGTCTTTTTTCCTGAAAGACTACATATTTGTGCCCTCACCATCTTGTACATGGTAGTGTCTCAGTAAATATGACAGAGCCACCCAAATCTCCAGTGAGGTTATGCTGTTTTCAGGGCAGTTTATTTTTCTGTTAGAAAGTTGTTCTTACTGTAAAAATTCTAAATGCCTATAGACAACTTAAAATCATAGAATCTTAAAACACAGACATTATGCAGTCTATTGCCTTCATTTCATGATTGAGAGAACCTTAACACCTAAGGTTAAGAGATTTCCCCAAGGCCACAGAGCTCTTAACTTGCAGATCTATAGCCTTGAACTCTGGTCTCCAGAGTCGCTGTCTGTTAATATTATTTCAGTTATTAGAAAAAAGTTTCCAGGCCCCTCTTAGTCTTCTTAGGCCATAAGGCTTGAATTTCTCATTATCTTGGACACTTTTCTGGTTTTAGCCCTGTTTTCCAATAATGCTACTAAACAAAAACTCTCTGAGGTGCTATGGGGGATGAAAGCATTCATTTATTACTCATATCATTTTTATTGAGTATAATCTTTATGCAAAATACCTGGTATTCTTGTCAATTAAACATTGATCTGCATTTTGATTTGGTCATTCTACTTTGTAGGAATAAATTACATCTTAAGGAAATTAAAAAAGGAACACAATACCAGTTTAAACAAAGATGGATTTAGATTGCTATCTAGAAGTGGTTCAACATTTGGATAATGTTTGTAGAATAACAAATAGTTGTGGAAAATGATATGTAGACCAAATAGCAATAAGGAATATTGTAAGTGGGAAAAAGTAAAACACAAAATGGCATATCAATTGCAATGTATAGGGATGTGAAGAAATTAGGGTTGTAAATTTTGGATCCTTAAAGATAAGAAGGTTCTTTAAATGTTTGTTGTTTTCTGTGTTTCTGCTTCCCTGGCATCATTGGTCAGTTCTACAATAAGGACTATAGTGCCCAGAAGTTAACATAGCTAGAGGATATGTTGTTGTTGGGGGGGCGTGGGGGAGGTGGGTAAGGAGAAATGGGTCTTGATCATGCCACAGATGGCCTTGTGTATCATTACACTGAACAGTGTGGTCTCTGACTTGTGGTTGTGTGTTCCAATTGCCATCTGCGAGCTTTAAAACAAAGCACACAAGCAAACAAAAAGCACTACGACCATCATTTCTAGTGATGTGTCTTACTCATCCTTTGATATAGCCCAAGCTAGGCAAGATGTTTAGAACTCAACAATAGAAAATTGATGATCAACTAAAACCTCCAGGTGCTTTTTTTCACATATTCTTCTACCAAGCAAGTTTTCACCAAATCACAATTGTTTCATTAATTTTAAACCTTGATATATAAGAACTTTACACTTGTTTCTGCTGATATTTTTCTTATAAGTTCCAGTTCAGTACCTCAAAAATATAAGAAAATTTTTAGCACTTTTAATGAATCTGCCATGATGATCATCATAAAAGTAGCTAATCATTACTGAGTGCTTACTATGGTTCAAGCGCGGTGCTAAATGCTTTGCCTCATTTTATCCTCAGAACAGGCCTACAAAATGGGTATCATGACATCATCCCTGCCAAAGATCATTTAGATAACAAGTGTCAGAGACAGGACTCAATCCCAGGTATGTCTGATGCTAAATCCCATGCTCTTAGCCACTACCATGTGCCATTTCTGAGCACTTTATTCAGTTTCATCCAAGCCACCAAAGAGCCCAGACTAGGGACCAATCTCTGAGATAATCCACTAGAGAGTTCCTTCGCAATGGATGTATAGCTACTGATTCATGCTCATTGGATATTGTGATTTATCTAATTGTCAATTCACTTGGCAAGACTATGATCCACACAAATTTTACTATTTTATTCACAAGACTATCATAGAAGACTATTAAATGCTTTGCAGAATTAAAAAATATTATGATGATGACATTCCCTTTATATACCAATATCTGCTTTTCTCATCATTTTTATCTTTTTTCCTAAGAAATCTCCTCACCTACATTATTGTCTCCTTCATTAAATGATGCACCACACTTTGAGCCTTGGTTCTATCAAACTGTAAAATGAAGACAATACTTACTTCATACATTTACATAGCTAGCATGCTCTAAACTCAAGTCCATTGTTTCAAATACTTCAGAGGCCTCCCATCTTCCGTTCAGGGTGTTCTAACCCCAGTTCCAGGACCCCAAGAACCTCAGGAAATTTATGATTCTACTTTAAATAATAAAAATGATGTATATATGTGTGCTTTGCTCTGAAAAGTATTCTTAGATTTGTATTAGATTATCAAAAAGGAATTATGATTTTAATGACTATAAAGACAAATTTTCCTAAATATTTATATAAAACTCTTCATGACCTAATTGCTAACTCCCCAAGCCTCATTTGCTTCCACATGTCACCCTTCAATACCCACCACACTCACATACACACACAAATACCACACTTCCCGTGGTTTCTTAAAATGTGTCTGCTCAGTTCCACACGTACATAGAAGGTGGACCTCCTTCCTTCTACACTTAGTAAGATTATCTTCATCCTCAGACCTCAGCTCCAATATCTTCTTAATGAAACTTTCCCTGACCTATACAAGCATCATTAAGTGCTTTCATAGAGCTTTGCTCATTCTTTGAAAGAATTTATCAAATCACTGTATTTGAATGTAGATTTATCTATCCTCCTCACCAAACACCAAGTTTCAATCACATAGTGGCAATGACCCTGATAGAGTGGCAACAGTCCAGCCCTCTTACCACTGTGGCCTCAACAGTTAGAGAAGCCATTCTTCTCCAGAAGCTGGTAGTTGCTCAATAAACATTTGAATTAATGAGTGATGAAATAAACTGAACAACACCATTACAAAATAATGGCCTGTGTTTATTGTGCCTTTACGGTTTATAAATGTGCATAAACCTTACTTTTCTGAGACCCAACCATGGATAATTCAACATGTATTTAGTGAAAGGCCAATATCATCCAGGCTGGGTTTTAGGTACTGTCAAGGTCTCATTACAGAAGCTAATGCCATTGTTCCTTCCTTTTAAAATTTAGAGCTCCGTGGGCAGAGAAGACTTAGCCATGCACACTCCAACTTCAGACTCACCCAGTGGCACTGTAATTGCCCACTTGGTACTATAATTGCCTACTAAGAAGGCAAAATAATAACGTCCTCAGAGTCTAAGCTTTGAACTCATACATACCCCAGTGCCAATCTTAAACTTTATGCATACCAGCTGTGCAGGACTGAACAAGTTGTATAAAGTCTTTGAGCCTTGGTTCCATCAAACTGTAAAATGAAGACAACATTCACTTCATACATTTACATAGGCAATATATGTAAAACACTTAGTAAGTGTGCAACAAATAATGTTAATGGAGGTCATTAAGATTAGTGAATGTTGATAATGCTGATGATCGGAATGCTGCTGCTGATGGTAACTCATTGAGGACAACGACCATGTGTTTTTGAATCCCCAGCACCTACCATAATACCTGATACATAGTAGATATTAGATATTAGATAACTGTTTGTTAAATTAATTGTCAATTGCCAAGTCCAAGATATTGAAAGCCAAGAGGAGATAAAAAAGAGACTAGCATGAACTAGAGTGATCAAGGGAAGCTTTATTGAGGAGGGAGGTGTACAAATGGTAGATTATGTTCAGACTTGGAGAAGAGGACAAAAGTTATTGAAGGCAAAAGAAAACAAGCCTAACACTAAAGTAAGTAGTCTATGCTGGGAGTGGGGTAGAGTAAATGCATTTTGTTTGGCAGGAAGGGGAAGCAGTGAGTATTACCAAAACTTCACTGTTCAATACCATGCCTAGAGATCAATAACAAAAAAAAAATCTTAAATGTTGATACTTTTCAGAAGCTACGGGTTACAGCAAAATGATACAGGAAACTGTTTCATTTAGTACACTGCATGGGTATAGTGGGAAAAACATGAGTTTTATAGGGAGATAAACCTAGGTTTGAATTTTTGTTTTGCCATTTAACTAACTATATTATCTTGGGCAAGTCACTTACATGGAGCTTCTGTTTCCTCTTCTATAAAATGGGAATAATCATACCTATCCCACAGGGCTGATGTGGAATTTGAATGAGATTATTCATGTAAGGCACCCATGTTCATACAGACATGCCTTGCCCATGTCTGCATGAACACCTGTATATAGCAGGTGTTCAACAGACATGAGAGCTGCTGTTATTTTTAATAGTGTGAATTAGTGCATTTATGTGTTGTGGTAAGTCGATGTGTATAGTTTGGTTGTCTATGTTTTTGGACATGTAAACTTGAGCTTACTTGATCTGAGAGTAACTGGGCTTTTTGAAATGGAAATAATCCAGAAAAAAAAAGTGGGTAATGTGATACCACTTGGCTGCTATTCAAAATGAAGAAATGAAAAATGTTTTGAGTATGGGCAATTGATTGGAATGAATGCTCAAATAGGAAACTAATAACTGTCTTTATTAACCACCTGCTGTACAAACTGTCATGCAAATACTGCCTTATGTTTTATGAGAAACATTTGAAAACCCCTGTGACTTTGTTCTGCTTGGATTTTCTTCTCTGTAGCAAAATACATAATTGAATTAATTTCAAGTGTGTTTGTCTGTAAACCAGCCAAATATTTCCTTTTAAATACTTGAGCTCTATGTTGAATATACAGAGTTACGGTTCTTAGCACATTTTGTTTTACATTAAGGGGTAGATTTTATTCCTTAATCCTTTAATGGGCTTTTAATTTCACATATACTAAAGTGTCTCCTATTTTCATAATAAATGAAAATTTTTCATTTCATGCAGGTTCTTCCAGGGGACCCAGCCCCCTAACCATGGGAGCTCAGGACACTCTCCCTGTTGCAGCAGCATTTACAGAAACAGTCAATGCCTATTTCAAAGGAGCAGACCCAAGCAAGTAAGCCTGATACTTGGTCCATTGTACTTTCTGAGTTCTGTCCTATTGAGTGTGGAACAGCCTAAATACAACCTTTTCATTTTTTCTTTTAAAAAGCAAAAAATAATTCAGTTAGCAATAGTAGATGGCACAGCTAGGAGAGAGGTGAAAATGTCATTAGGAATATTGATTTCATGCTTTTAAAAAATGTATCAAGAGAATTTACTCTAGAAATCTTTGATTCCATTTTGGTTCTAGAGAACTTACTCTAGAAATCTAGAAATCTTTGATTCCGCTTTGGTTGCAAGTAACAGAAAACTCTAACCCAGTCTGTCAACAATGAGGAAATTTATTGTCTCACAAAAGTAAATGTGCAGATCATGTCTTTTATTGTCTTAATCTTTCCTGGACAGGAATCACCCACATATAAATTAAAACAACGGTTCACTGGGATGAGAACATGAAAGAAAAAACACCTTCTCAAAACACACGAAGTAGCAAGGGAACAAATTTTCTGTGACCCCTACTAAATAAGGAAAAACTGGCCAAAAATGAAAGAGAAAGAAAAAATTATAACAGAGCAAAGTAAAAATTCTAGGGAAAATTCACCACTTTCTATTTACATGAGCCTGATTTCACTTATACATGTACATACTGACAATGGACTTGGTCTGAATGCATATGTGATGTAATTAAATATTTGGCCTCTTGCTAAGGAATTCCATGGATAGGATTCAGAAAATCAATGGTTTCCCTGAAATTATATTGTGTATTTTATGTGTGTGCATGTGTGCATTATTCTATAAAAAGAGTCTATAATAACATTTATCACTTAACAAAGAGATTTGTAATCCAAAAAAAGATTAAAAGTGATTAGTGATCTACACCAAAAACTAAACAACTAAGTCAGACTTATTTTCAATAGTGTCATTAATATAATTCCAGGCCTGAATTTGATCAATAAAGGGGAAACCTAAGTGAGGAAAGAATTGCTTTTAATTTTTTTACTTACAAAGACTAGGGCTTTGAAAAACTTAATATTTATGACAATAAGAACTGGAGACTAGGCATGGTGGCTCACACCTGTAATTCCAGCACTTTGGGAGGCCAAGACAGGAGGATTGCTGAGGCCAGGAGATCGAGACCACCCCTGGCAACATAGGGAGAGCCTGCCTCTGCAAAAAATACAAAAATTGGCTGAGCGGGTGGTGCACACCTGCAGTCCCAGCTACTTAGGAAGTTGAGGTGGGAGGGTTGCTTGAACCTGGGAAGCAGAAGCAGCAGTGAGCCATGATCACACCACTGCACTCCAGCCTGGGTGACAGAGCAAGACCCTGTTTCAGAAAAATAAATACAATTTTAAAAACTGGAGAAGAAAAAGTCGATGTGTATATAGAACACTAGACTATACTATAAAAATTTTTTGAAACAGTGATAATTAAATATAATTAGAACTTGGATCTCCATATATATTTTAAGTGGAAATTGGTATAACTAATCATGAATCCTCTCGACACTTCAGAAACACTAGTTTTAGACGTAAAACTCGAAATCTAACAATATTATACTGGAAAACTAATACAATTAGTAACTCCACCTTTAAGTGTACTAGCCAGCCACTAGGATCTTTCAACTTCATGTCTCTTTAAACAACATCTAGGTTTCATTCTATGCCCAGAATATTATAGAGAAACAAGCACTGTGGACCCTGGATTTTCCACGTCTTTTCTCTTTCATCTTCAAAACAGAAAGGCCATTTGCCACATCCCCATATCAATAGAAATCACAAGCTACCTCCTATAGAGCATACGTCTGAACTGTTAAGGCAAGTAGACATCATGAGCGTTAGCTGTAGATATGCTTTATTCATACGTATTTGTTCTGTAGAATCTTCTTTGGACAAAGAATTTGCATAATTTTCTGTTATTCCAGTTCTAAGAAAATTTATCACTGACTACTGACCTTATACCTTAGAAAATCACGTTGGCCTGAATTGAGAAAAGCAGACAGAAACATCCTTCTATGTTTTTATTTTATTTTTTGAGATGGGGTCTCACTTTTTTGCCCAGGCTGAAGCACAATGGCACAATCACAGCTCACTGCAGCCTCAACCTCCCAGTCTCAGGCAATTCTCCCACTTCAGCCTCCCGAGTAGCTGGGACTACAGGCACATGCCACCACACCCGGCTAATTTTTGTATTTTTTTTAGCGACGGGGTTTTTTCATATTGCCCAGGCTGGTCTTGAACTCCTGGGCTCAAATGATCTGCCCACCTTGGCCTCCCAAAGAGCTAGGATTACAGGCGTGAGCCACTGTGCCTGGCCAGAATTGCCCTTTTGAAAAATAAGAGTAGTCAGGAGTGAATGTATATACCTGAGTGAAAACCGCTGGGGATCACACAAGAATGAATTCATCTTTGTCTGCTTCCTAATTGGCTTTCATTCATTCATCCACTAATTTATTCAGAGAGATCTAATTGGTCTCCCTTCTTCCGCTTTTGCACCCCTACAAAGTCTCAACATATCATGTCACTCTTCTGCTCAAAATCCTCCCATCTTGTTCAAAGTAAAAACAAAATGCTTCATAATACTCTTACAAGACCCTCCATGATCTGCCCTTCGAGACTCCCCCAGCCTCACCCCGTGGCCGTGTCTCTGATCCCATCTCCATCACTCCTTTCCTTATCCCTGACCGTGCCTCCAACCCTCACCTCCATATTCACTCCACTCTAGCCACATGGCCTCATGGCGTCTCTCTTCCATCACCCCAACCCACCTGCACCTCATGGGTTTTCATTTGCTTCACTTTCTGCCTTCGTGAAATCTTCTCCTAGGTTCTGAGTGACTTGTCCCCTCATTCCCTTCATGATTCTTCAGTAAATTTATCAAAGAGACCTTCTTTGTCCATCCTATATAAAATAACAACACCGCTCCCCACCCCGTCAACATTTTCTTCCTCTTTACCTCATGTTCTCTGTCTCCATAGCCCTTCTCTCTAACATCTTTTATGTTGTTGTTGTCCATTATTTGTCTTCTCCCCCACTAGAATGTAAATACCATGAGAGCTGGATTTTGCCTGTTTGGTTCACTGTTGTGTCCTCAGCTAAACAGGACAAGGCATATTTGCTGAACAAGTTGAATTGAATTACTCACCTAATATTTACAAAATGGCTACTATGTACCTGCCATTGTGCTAGACAGGAGATATATTGGCGATAAAGACAGCTCATATGGAAAATAGGACTTGTGCATAAATATAATACCAAGTGCACCAGAGAACAGGTGTAAATATGGTGCAGTGGGAGTTAAGAAGCCGTTATTAACGTATTTTTTAATTCCAATAAGTGGTACAGCAGCCTGTCCCATCGGCCTGTCACAATATAAGCCAGGGTTTTCATCCTGGTTCAGTTTCCCAATACACTATGACAGGCGTGTAGGGTAGTCTGCACCTGTAAGCTTGATGTCTGCGGCCTTGGCATTCCAATGACATGGCACTTGAGCCAAATTAATATTAGTGTTTTTCCTATACCCTTCTAAATTAACTGAGTCTTTGACTTGTGGATGTATATGGAATCTGTTTTTAATTTTATTGCCATAAATAGTTGTAGGATATCCTCTATGCTGGTAGGTGGGAGATCCAATTTATTTCATTAAAATTTTGAAATCAGAAACTTATAAATGAATCATGAAATGACACTCATATATTTAATTTCATCTTCAGCAACCATTTTAATTGCTCTTCCTTTATCACTCACTTTCAAGGAAACAACTCAAGTTCTATCACCAGGTGGAAATAATGCCAGCCAAGGTACCAAACAGAGAAATGATGCAGCAAAGGCATTTGGATTTGATTTTGTCTATAGTTCCCTGTCATCCTGCATCAAAGCCATTTGTTCTCAGACCATCCATTGGGAACAGAAATCTACTATCTTAATTTTTATATACTATGATATGTAACCCATTTAAATATAGTTATACTGTAAATATTCGGAGCACCCATAACAGGTATTCTGACATGTAAGACTTTCTCAGTAGCTCACAGGCAGCAAATTCCTTACCTTTGCTACTGATTGGGGAAACACATCTCCCGCTATTAGTTCCTATTTAAAGAACATTGGTGCTTAAAAACAAGGGTCAGAGATTAACTCTCTAATTCCCTAGAAAAGCTTAGGTTACTCGGCTCTCTCTTATCCTTCTTTTATCATCACATTTTAATTATTTATTCAGTATCTGTCTTCCAGTTTAAACTAGAAATTTGCACAAGGACCATTTGTCCAATTTGTCACTGCCAAATCTAGCACATTACATTGTGCCTGGTATATTGTGTAGGCACCCTATAAATAAATAAATAAATGTATGAATTTATTTTTTAAACAATGAGTTCTTACTCTGAGTTCTACATTATGCACCGTTGCCTTCCCAGAACCTATGACCCAGAACTTGTCTTCACAATAGTAGATAAGATGTGCGTGAAACTGCAACATAATTTCCTAGAAAAAGATCTGTACCTATCTCCAAGCAAACCCAGAGAAAGGAGAAACCAAGGAAGGCTAAATGGAGAGGATATTAAGAAATGTTTCGGAAAGGCCTTCTTTTGAACTTAGTCTTGTAATATGAAAAGCAGTACATAAGCCAAAGAAAGGGAATTGTAAAGAAAAGAAGAGAAGCTACATCTACACAGATGTACACTGAGAAACAGACCTAGGGGTTTTGTTAGCAGTACATATAAATTGTATTTTATGAGAGAGATGCATCTCTGATGACCTCACACATTCCCTGAACAAAACTGGCCAGTGTTTCTGTGACCAGCTAGGGAAAATCCAGTGTATAAGTCACTTGGCTGGTTGACTTTGAAGTTTTGCCATTTTTTGACAAATGTTTCATTTGTGAGGATTCACATGATTTCTTATTTTATTCATGAAGTAAGCATCTATTCATATTTCCATCTCACATTATTTCCACCATTCAAACTCACATGAAATGTAGCCACCTTGCATACTGGTAGGAAAAATCCTTAAGTTAAAAAAAATTCTTTGGTGAGTATAGAAAATATTAAATTTTTATATAGAAAATTTCAGGTCAATTTAGACACTGGATGGATTAATAAGTCAGCAAAAGTTCTGGCTCTGACAGTTGTGATGCTGAAATGTAATTGAGGCCTCAGTGCTTCTTACACAGGACTACGTGGACTACTTCTCCCACCTTCTACCCAACACTGTAAGCCCTTTGAAAGCAGAGGCTATTTTGCTCATTTTTAAATTACCACCCCACTGGAAAAAATAACAAGAACAACTTGCATAGTTAGGAGTGAATAGACAGATGCCTGTTGAGTTAATAAATGCCACCTCCTCCCCTGTCTGACTTGCTTTCAAAACAGAAACTTTATCTCCTACCAAGACACCATTTAGATCTCATTTTGAGCAACTTGGCAAGAAAACTGAGAAAATTCCCTACCAGTTAAAGAACAGTTGAGCCACCACTGCTAATAACAATATTCTAAGTGATGGTAGGTGCTGAAATCTAATTTTATAAGTGCTCTAATTGTTTTCTAATAGCTGCCAAACAATATTCTACATGTCCACATATGGACAAATATCAAGAGTAGACTCAGCTTGAGGGGAAATCAAGGTTCAGAACCAATTTGGCACTAGTATACAAACAGGGTTAATGGATCTAAAAGGTAGAGAAGGAAGACAGCAGTTTGCTCCCAAACTGGGAGGTCAGCAGTGTTCTCCAGGAGAGATGGAAATGCAAACTTCCAGAAACCAAAAATCCCATTCAGAGCACTACAAAGTTATGGATTTAACACCTGAGTGAGGGAGGCTCACATGGCATCTTTAAGAAGCTCATCTGCTCCCAATCTCTGCCCCAAACCCAGCCTTATACCTACAAGGTTATAGCAGTTCCTCATTTAAGCTATTTTGAATGTATGCCAGACAGCACCTCACCTGAACCATGTGTGTTTCATCCATTAGAGTTACACAATATCCAAGGTGACTGTAGGACAACGTGGAGTCTCCATGCTCCAATGTGAGCAAAGTTTTCATTTATTAACATCAATTTCCCCAGAAAGTACATACCTGAACTTAGAGGTGAAGTACTACAAGAGTCAGCTGTGGAGACATTGGAGGAAATCATAAAGAAGCTCACTCACTTTAAGCATTTACTGTGTCCCAAAGAAGAATAAAATCCTTGTGAAATTTCTGCTTTAGCCAAGGTAGAGTAACAGACCAATTTACCCTTCTACCTCAAACAGCTTAAAAATAAGCAAAATATATAAAACAATGACTTGCAAGACACTGGACTTCAGGCGAAGGCAGTGATCCCTAAAAGGGGAGGTGTGCCCTATGATTGCTCCAGCTTACCTGCTTGAGAGTTTTCAGGCCTGGCATAAGGAGAGCCCAGCTGACTTCCAGCTGCTCATGGGAAGGTGTTTCACTGAGGCACTCTACTACAAAACTGGCCGAGGGAATTGCCAGGGGAAGCTAAGGTTGATGGGTGCTGCCGCCACCATGCACTGCAGAAGATGGCAGTGGAGAAGGTGTGAACATGGCAGGAGGCTGGAAAAGAATCCATCTGCATTGCAAGATCTGGGCATTGTGGCAGCCCAGCCAGTTGTACTACATGAGTCAGATGACAGGAAAGCTGTCTGTGCTACCAGGCACTGGCAGAGTTATATGGCTTGCAAAACCTACACTCTGGGGACACTACATGCACTGCAGGAGCCACACACAAGCCTCTTGTAACTTCAACAACCTAGCACTACGTAAGCCTTGTGCATTGCAAGAGCCTGCATTTGCAAGCAGGCTGGAAGGGTGAAGGAAAACCCCTTTCTCCTGCAATGTCTCTCTAGCGCCCTCTACTGACAAAACTAAGCATGGTTCCTGCAGGCAAAGAGAAAAATACAATAAAGATCCGTTAATTTTCTCAGAGCAGTCAGTAAAGGGTGAATTGGAACGGGGAGGCAATGATTGATTTTATATAGACATTGACACGGTGATTATAAACCTCATGTGGAAATTCAAAGGGCCTACCATAGCGAAAACAACTATGAAAAGGAACAAAGTTAGAGGACTAACATTACTTGATTTCAGAACTATCATAAAGCTACTGTAATCAAGACAGTGCAATACTGGCTTAAAAAATAGACCAAATAAATCTATAGAACAGAATGAATCGTGAATCCAGAAATTGACTCACACAGATAAGGGCAATTAGATTTCAACAAAATTTTCAAGGTAATTCGGTGGAGAAAGGACAGTCTTCTCAAAAAAATGATGCTGAAACAACTGGATATTCATATCCACACACACACAAAATGAACTGAGATCCATACTTGACACTATATACATTGTAAGACTAAAATAGGTGAAAATGGGTAATGAAGCTAAATGTAAACTCAAAGATTTTTTTTTAAACTTCTAGAAGAAAATATAAGTGAGACAGTTGCAGTGGCTCATGCCTGTAATTCCAGCAGTTCGGGAGGCCAAGGCAGGAGGACTGCTTGAGGCCAGGAGTTTGAGACTACAGTGAGCTATGCTCACACGACTGCACTCCAGTCTGGGTGACAGAGAAAGATCCTGTCTCAAAAAGGAAAAAGAAAATACAAATGAAACTTTTGTGACCTTCGGTTTGGCAAAGATTTCTTAAATAAGACACCGAAAGAATGACTGGATTAGATATAACCCATAAAAGAATAAATTGATGAATTAAAAACTTCTGCTCTTCAAATGTCCTTTTAAGAGAAAGAAAAAACAAAACAAGCCACAGACTGGGCTGCAAATTATATATCTGATAAATGACATTCCCAGAATGTATAAAGAAACCTTGACATTCAATAAGAGAACAAACAACCCTATTTAAAAACTTGGCAGACAGTTTAAGCAGAGGATAACTGATGACAAGCACATAAAAGATGCTGATGATCCTTAGCCATTATGGAAATGCAAATTAAAACAACAAGAAGATACCACTACTCACCTATGAGAATGGCTAAGATTAAAATGATCAGTTCTACCAAGTGTTGGTGAGAATGTGGAAGAACTAAAACCCTCATGCACAGCTGTATTTTCCACTTTAGAAAACAGTTAGGCAGTTTCTTTGAGAGTCTACACCTATTATGTGAGCTAGTGACTCTCCTCCTGTGTACTTACCAAGAGAAATGACAGGGTATATTCATACTAATACCCGTACACGCGTATTCATTGCACCTTTATTTGTAATAGGCAAAAACTGGAAAGAAGCCAAATGTTCTTCAGTAGGTGAATGTATTTTTTAAAACTGTGGTATACCCATACACTACACAGCCACAAAAAGAAATGAACTATTAGTGCACACAACTACATGAACAAGTCTCAAAATAATTATGTGCAGTGAAAGAAACAAAAAATCACACACCTTACAATTCTGTTATATGAAATTCTAGAAATTGCAAATGAAGTTATAGTGAAGCATATTAACTCTTGCCTAGGGACAGGGAAAGGAGGCAGTGGGAGAGATTACAAAAAGGGATTGCAAAAAAGCATAAGAAAACTTTCAGGGATGATGGAAATGTTCATTTTCTTAATTGTATGATGATTTTACATCATATAATCTCATGGAGTTTTACACTGTATATAAGTTCAGTTTATTATATATCAATTATATCTTCATAAAGCCTTTTTTAAAAAAAAAGAATTGTTTTTCCTTCCACGCTATCATCCCATTGTGTTAACTTATATGACTGAGTTTACAATTTTGACCAAATAGACAAATTAATGGAATGAAGAACTAGTTAAGTGCAAGGCAAAAACTTTACCTCATGAGTACATAAAACAACATGCTAAAGGCATTACTCATGTTACTCGAAGAGCTAAGTAAGACAAGTCCAGGAAATAATGTGATAACATTGTACAATATACTATCTTCAAATATGCTGCCAAAGATTCAGAAATCAAAGTGAGGGAGAACCACCAGAGTAGAGGATTCTATTCATGAGGTGAAGCTATAGACTTCTACAGAAAGAGAAAAGCTGTACTTTTCTTCTTACATTTCAAAACACATAAAACAAAATAGTCACTTTTTAAAATAAGTGCTGACCATTGAGTTCTCAGATAAGTTAGAAATGATACACTGCTGGTGAGAGTGTAAATTAATTCAACCATTGTAGAAAATAGTGTGGTGATTCCTCAAAGAACTAAAAACAGAACTACCCTTTGACCCAGAGATCCCATTACCGGTTATATTCCCAAAGAAATATAAATCATTCTATCATCAAGACACATGCATTGGTATGTTCATTGCAGTACTCTTCACAATAGCTAAGACACAGAGTCAACCTAAACGGCCATCAATGATAGACTAGATAAAGAAAATGTGTTACATATACACCATGGAATACTATGCAGCCATAAAAAAAGAATGAGATCATGTCCTTTGCAGGAACATGGATGGAACTGGAGGCCATTATCCTTCCCAAACCAACACAGGAACAGAAAAACAAACACCACATGTTCTCACTTATAAGTGGGAGCTGAATAATGAGAACATGTTGACAGAAAGAGAGGAACAAAAGAAACTAGGGCCTGCTTGAGGGAGGAGGATGGGAGAAGAGAAAAGTTCAGAAAAAAAAAACTGTCAAATACTATGCTTAGTACCCAGGTGACAAAATAATCTGTACACCAAACCCCCAAGTCACATGTTTACCTATATAACAAACCTGCACATGTACCCCTGAACCTAAAATAGAAGTTAAAGTATTTTTTAATGGAATTGTAAGAGCCTGCCTTTTATCTCTTCTGCTATTTAACATTGCCTCATAAATTGTTTTTCACAGCAGTTTTGATTCAGTGTATTGACATGGATTTTCTCTCTCTTTCCTCTCTGTGTTTTGATATGCCAGATGTATCGTTAAGATTACCGGAGAAATGGTGTTGTCATTTCCTGCTGGCATCACCAGACACTTTGCCAACAACCCGTCCCCAGCTGCTCTGACTTTTCGGGTGATAAATTTCAGCAGGTTAGAACACGTCCTGCCAAACCCCCAACTTCTCTGCTGGTAAATATGATTTTGCATAAATTTTTCAGAGATACATGTGGCTTAGTACTTTGTACTTAGATGAGGGATATATCTTAGCAACAGGGTCGCACTATAGTGAAATTACCACCACTCAGATATATTTGTAGATTCAAGCACAGAACTTTTACCAGCTATCAAAATTTGTTGTGGGTGGTTGTGTGTGAATGTGTGACTGCATATGCATATACGTGTTTTAATGGCCAACTATCTCAAGTGGTTAGAGAGACAGGGTAAGAAAATCTGTATCAGCAACAGTTTGTTCATCGTCTGTTTTACTCATTATCAACAGACAGTGGATGACAATGGTGGGAAATGAGCCAAATAACAAGAATAAAATCCTTTCATTGTATGAGCATCTTTTTATTTTTATTTTATTTTTGAGATAGAGTCTTGCTCTGTTGCCTAGGCTGGAGTGCAGTGGCACCATCTCAGCTCTCTGCAACCTCCGCCTCCTGGGTTCAAGTGGTTCTCCTGCCTCAGCCTCCCAAGTAGCTGAGATTACAGGCGCCCACCACCACACCTGGCTAATTTTTGTATTTTTAGTAGAGATGGGGTTTCGCCATGTTGGCCAGGCTGGTCTCAAACTACTGACCTCAAGTGATCTGCCTGCCTTGGCCTCCCAAAGTGCTGGGATTACAGCCATGAGCCACCACGCCTGGCCTTCTTTTTAAATCAATTGTGTGTGTAGGTGTGACTGTGCATGTGCATATGCATAATAAAGACATCAAATTCAGGTTTAATAGTTAATACAATTTCATTGTAATGATCATTGTTTTGATGGAATTTTACATGTATGACATAAAAGAAACTTATGCAAATATGTTTATATCAATGTAATTTTTCACATTTTCTAACTATTAAACCTGAATTTGATGTCTTTATTATGCATATGCACAGTCACACAAACCCACATGCATGCATGCTATTAAAATGATCAATTATACAAGTTAATTATTTGCAGTGAATGAGCTGAAAGAAGTCTTCTTGACAGCTTCTCCATCAAGTCCTGATGTTCATCTACAAACCTCTCTCTGAAGTGGCCACTTTTTTCTTTACTGCCACCTCCCTTGTCCAAGTGACCACTGTCTTTTCCCCATACCACTGCAATTGCCTTCTCTCCCTGAATCCAATCTTGCCCCTCTCCAATACATTTCAACAGCCAGGTGGTCTTTTGTGAGTAAATCAGGTCTCCTTTGTTCACAACTCCCTGGTGGCTTCGCATTACACCTGTCCCAGAATCTAAACCTGTTACCATTGCCTTTGAGGCCTTGAGTTGTTTACCCTTGTCTGCCTCTCCATTCTCATCTCCCACCATCCTGCCTCAGAATCCTTTTAGCTCCAGCCAGACCTGCCAATCTCAGAAACAGGCTGCATCCTTTCCCACAACAGGGCTTTGTAGTACTTGTTTCCCCTGCCTCGAATACTGTTTCAACCTTCTTCACCTGACTCCAACTCATCCTTTAGTCTCAGCTCTACTCTGCCTCCTGGACTATCCCATTCTCCTCCCCATACCCCCACCAACCAGCCCCAAACTAGTAGCTTGGTGCAAAAGTAATTGCAGTTTCTACCGTTACTTTTAAATGACAAAAACCGTAATTCCTTTTGTGCCAACGTAATAAATTCTGTCCCCTTGTTATTCTCTCTAAAGGTACCCTGTTCTTTTCCTTTGTAGCACTTACTACAGTTAATAATGACATATCTATTTGTGTTTCTTCATTCATCCATCTCCCCCACAAGACTGTGCAAACCGTGAGGGAATGGAAAAAGTCTCTTAATTCGAATTCTTGCTTCAGTTTCCCTCCATTTTTTGGTTGTGCACGTTGAGCCAGTTTATTTTTCAAGGTTCCTCCATCTGAAATTAGGAATTATGTGCCAATATCTTGCCAGTTTGTTTGTAAATATGACTGGTGTCATAGTTACAGCTTTTGTTGCATTGCATTTTTAGGCAGTTATGTTGCCAAGTTCTTAGGCATATGTGCAAAAGTTGTATACATATATTAACATACTGGTCTTATACATAGAATCAAACATCACTCAAAGTGGTTTTGCTTAACAAAATATTATATAGACCCTTAAATTATTATTTACAAAAGTAAAAAAAAAAGAAATAAAATATATCCCATTAATTTGGATCTTATGAACTCTACTTGATCACTGTAACAGGGCTGTGATGAGTGACCCTTTAGTCATCTATAGACTCTTTAGTTTCGTTATGCAGTGCCACTCCACTACCTCAACCACCACAACCATCCCCAGTTTTTTAAAAAGGCATTGTTGACCAAGCATGATTCTAGATTGCAGTACCAGCCTTTAGTGTCTATCATCAGCCAATTGTTTCCTTAATGTTTACTGAAGAAGACTTCATATGTCACCATGGCCCCTGGAGACATTTCAGTTTGCAATCCCTATGACAGGGGCCAAATTGAAATTTACATCTACTTTTTTCTTGTGAAAAAAGTTTGCTTGTAAAAAATATGCGGGAACAATTGTCAACTCAAGTATGAGACTGAAGAATGCTCAAGGCTTCTTGAGCATTTAAGAATTCCATCTCTGTGTAAGCATTTGATTGGCAAAGCTTTCTTGAATATTTATTAAAGCAGGTTCTCTAAGAAATTATCACAGACCTATGACAGCTTATTTTGCTATTAATCTCAGCAAATGTATTTCTTTAAAATAGCATTATATAATTGAGGGTTTCCCAGTTATTCAAATCTACTTAGTACAAATTAATGACATGTTGCTAGATATTAATTCTGAACCTCTATTTTGGCATGGTGTGAAAGTGTTATTTGTAGAACTGATATGGGCTGGAATCTGGCTGTTTCTTATTAGCTGCATGACCTTAAGCAAATTATTTAATTTCACTGACCCTCTGTTACTCTTACCTCCTGCCTGCTTGTATAGCAACAGCTCTGGGAGCTTGGGTAACTTAGATGCTTTTCAATTTAAAAAAACTCAGATAGCCCTTACCAGCATCCCTAGCTCAACTGAAAAGGGGCAAAGTCTTAAGGACCAGGTGTATTTTCCACCCCCTTCCTCCATTTCCAGGGCCAAAGAGCTTTGCCTCATCCTCAATAACTTTATATCCAGGGACAGCAAAACCACACTGGTCACACTGAGACTTGGCCACTCTTTCCTAACAGATCAGTGACAGTTTTAAAGCCCTGGTGTTTTTTACTCAGCTTTCTTGATTTATGAGACTTCTGGAGGCTGAATCATAGCAACTTACTTTTGACCTGTCTTTTCACTTTTTCACTGTATCAGCCTTCTCTCTTCTCAACCCCTAATTTTCTCTCTTTTTTTTTTAACAAGTTTGCTCATCTTTAAAAACAAAGACAATAATTCTTCCTTTGCAGGGTAGATTTTAATGAAATAGTTTATAATGCCTAGCATATAATAGGTGGTTAAGAAACTGTAACTACTGTTATTGCACTATATAGGATATTCTGAAAGTGAACTGTCAGCAAATGTGTGTGACAAGTAACTGAATCACTTGTGGCCTCAGCTTCCTCATTATACGGGAAATGAGTTATATGTTTGTACACTCTTGCCTGATTCTTTTTATCATTGAGATGAGCATTTGCAAGATAGATTGGGTAAGTGGTCTGTATACAGGCCTCTGAGCAAAGCTAAGACTCTCATAGGGATATAAAACTTCTTAGCTTATAGAGACTCTGCTCTTCTTCTGTATTATAACTACCAAAATTATCATTTAAACTCCAGGATCATCTTATAAGTGAAGTGAAATCTTTGATGATTTAAATGCTCATGGATGAAATATTATGAATGCTGAAAAGGCAGCATGGTAATTTTAGTATCACTCTTTTCTGCTTAGTTGGTGATAAAGACCATGTTTACATTTGGCCAAATATTTCACTGGATAATTTCTGAGAAACTACTGGTCAAAGTAATTCAAAAGTAAATAAACGTATTCAGTTCCTTAATTGCCTTAACTGACTAATTTAGACAAAGCTGGTTTCATAGAAAGGGATATTAAGTTTGAGTTAATAAATAATTCACTCTTTAAAGCTCCCAATTATCATCGCAATTAGTTAATATTACTGAGCACTCACTGAGATTGATAGCAACACAGTAGCTCCTCCTCGTGGATATTAATCTACCAACACCATAGCATTCAGAACTGTATTTGTATGAAAACCACACTACTGTTAATAGATTCATAATAATCTCTACAAATTGTCAAAAAATGGCTGTACATATCAGACGACAATTTGCTAAGATGCTTCGTGTAGGGTTTATATTTGTTTTAAGATGCTACTCAATCATTTTTCTTCCCAAATGAACAGTGATAATACACAAAATGATGCCAATACCAAGGAATTCTGGGTAAACATGCCAAATTTGATGACTCACCTAAAGAAAGTGTCTGAACAAAAACCCCAGGCTACATATTATAACGTTGACATGCTCAAATATCAGGTAAGCCTATTTACATGATCGGTATCTCTTCCACATGACATATTTGTTTTCTAAAGTACCTACTATTGAATAAAAGTAACTAAAGTAACACTTCTTTTAACAGTATTTAAAAGCTATAACTCATTTTTTTAAATGGAAACTTTAAAAGATAACTTGGGGACTACTGACAAAAATATTCATACATATTCTTATTAGTTTAAGCTTACAAGTAAAATATTTTATCACAAAATTAGAGAAATGTGCCACAAAAAAATGAAGTTGCAAAACATTATACTAATTAAGATTATAAGTTTATATTGATAAACAAGATGATTATAATTTTGTTAAGAACATTACTATACTAAAACCTCTTATTTTAAATGATTCAAGGTACACAATCTGCTTTTGTTTTTCTAGTAAGATAGTCCTATGAAAGAATTCTAATAAAATCTAACACTAAGAAATAGTTCAATAATAAAGGAATGTTTGATACTTACAATATATGAGAACTTTCTTTTTGTATCTAGAATTGCCCTTATCTCAAATTATTATTGATATACTAAATAAGCCTAATTCATACCAGGATCCTGATAGTGCCTGAGTCTCTCATTGGTTCCCAGCCACTTGACTGCCTAGATTTTTTTGGTTTTTTTTTTTTTTTTTGAGACAGAGTCTCACCCTATCACCCAGGCTGGAGTGCAGTGGCACAATCTTGGCTCACTGCAATGTCCACCTCCTGTGTTCAAGCGATTCTCCTGCCTCAGCCTCCTGAGTAGCTAGGAATACAGGCATGCACCACCAAGCCCTGCTAATTTTTTGTATTTTTAATAGAGACGGGATTTCACCCTGTTGGCTATGCTGGTCTGGAACTCCTGACCTCAGGTGATCCGCCCGCATCAGCCTCCTAAAGTGCTGGGATTACAGGCATGAGCCACCACACCAGCTGACTCCCTAGATTTTTTTAAACTTTTTTATTTTTTAAATTGACAGGTACAATTGTATGTCTGTATTAGGTACAACATGATATTTTGAATATATGTACGTTATGGAATGACTAAACTAACATACGTATTACCTCACATAGTTATTTTTGTGATGAGAACACTTTCCATTCACTTTAGCATTTTTCAGGAATACAGTATATGGTTATTACCTACAGTCACCACCTTATGCAATCAATCTCTTGAATTTATTCCTCTCATCTAACTGAAATTTTGTGTCTTTTGACCAACATCTCTCTAAACAAACCCCCACCCCACCCCACCACCACTACCTCAGCCTCTGGTAACCACCATTCTACTCTCTAATTCTATAAGATCAACTTTTATTTTTATGTTATTTTATTTTATTTTATTTTATTTTATTTAGTTTTTTGAGATGAAGTCTCCCTCTGTTGCCCAAGCTGGAGTGCAGTGGCACGATCTCGGCTAATAGCAACATCCACATCCTGGGTTCAAGCGATCCTCCTGCCTCAGCCTCCCAAGTAGCTGGGATTACAGGCATGCACCATCATCCTGGCTAATTTTTGTATTTTCGATAGAGACGGGGTTTCACCATGTTGGCCAGGCTGGTCTTGAACTCCCAGCCTCAGATGATCCCCGTTCCTTGGCCTCCCAAAGTGCCACTGTGCCCAGCCAAGATCAACTTTTAAATATTCCACATAAGAGTGAGATCGTGTGGGCCGGGCGCGGTGGCTCACGCCTGTAATCCCAGCACTTTGGGAGGCCGAGGCGGGTGGATCATGAGGTCAGGAGATCGAGACCATCCTGGCTAACAAGGTGAAACCCCGTCTCTACTAAAAATACAAAAAATTAGCCGGGCGCGGTGGCGGGCGCCTGTAGTCCCAGCTACTCGGGAGGCTGAGGCGGGAGAATGGCGTGAACCCGGGAGGCGGAGCTTGCAGTGAGCTGAGATTGCGCCACTGCAGTCCGCAGTCCGGCCTGGGCGACAGAGCGAGACTCCGTCTCAAAAAAAAAAAAAAAAAAAAAAAAAAAAAGAGTGAGATCGTGTGGTATTGGTCTTTCTGTGCCTGGCTCATTTCATTTACCACGTTTTTAATGCATTATAATTTTTTATTAAATATGTTCAGATTATTTTTCTTCAAATGAAGGAAGTTGTACTTTAATAAAAATCAGGACATCTCAAACTTGACTGTATTTCTCAATCAAATGCTGGTTCTGAATTGATGCTAAAAAGAAATATATGTGTATACATATTTAAATAATATAAATATTTATTTATAATATTTACATATACAACCTAGATACATATAAAACCTATACAATCTATAACATATAAAATAACACATTATATTCATAAATATAAATATTTATACAAATATTTTAAATATAAATATTTATACAAATATTTTAAATATAAATATTTATACAAATATTTTAAATATAAATATTTATACAAATAGTTTAAAATATTATATAAAATATGCAAATATATAAATATGATATATGTGAATATAATACGATATATTATATGTGAATATAATATGATATATGTGAATATAATATATAATATATGTGAATATATTATATGTGAATATAATATATTGCGTATTATATGTGAATATAATATATTGCGTATTATATGTGAATATAATATATTGCGTATTATATGTGAATATAATATATTGCGTATTATATGTGAATATAATATATTGCGTATTATATGTGAATATAATATATTGCGTATTATATGTGAATATAATATATTGCGTATTATATGTGAATATAATATATTGCGTATTATATGTGAATATAATATATTGCGTATTATATGTAAATATAGGTAGAGATCATTATTAAATATACATATATGTATTTTGGGGGGTGTTAGGACCTAGCAGATATATATATTAAATATACTTTTTAAATTTTATTTAATTGGTTTAGAATGCCACCCAGGTATCTGTACTTTGTATAAGTTTCTCAAGGGAGTCTATGCATCCTCTGCTTTGGAAAACATTTATTTAAATTGTTGTAAGAAAACCATTTAAAGTGAAATATCTATAAAATGGTGTATTTTCCAGAAATGCAAAAGAATATAATTTTTTCTTGTGAGAATAGTATATACTCTTCAAACATTATGGATAATACTGAAAAAATATATAATATGGCATAAATTCATCACTTACAAATTAAAATATAATAGAAAACACATTTTATTTAACTTCTTCCCAAAATATTTAAACATGCTTAGTGACTGCTTTATGCTTTGGGAGAAATGAAAGGAAATAAGAAAGGAAAACTCTAAATGTAATTTTTTCTCTGAATGAGAAGTTAAATTTCGAGGCAGAAGTTAACTTTCATGTATGGTTTGCATCCCCAAAGTGTGCAAATAAGTTGGCACTTCTTTCCCTTCGTGGACTCTAATTATATACACTGCATGTACATCTTCACTTCAGATAAAAAAATTTTTTAAATTATTAAATCCTATAGAGTTTTTTTCATTTCCGTATTTGTTATTAAGTAAATCTAGAAATTAGAATTCACCTATTGCAGTATGAGCTTTGTGTAAAGTATTAAAGTGTAGGCAAGGGCTGCGCACGGTGGCTCATGTCTGTAATCCTAACACTTTGGGAGGCTGAGGCAGGAGGATCACTTGAGCCCAGGAGTTCGAGACTAGCCTGGGCAACATAATGAGACCCCATCTCTACTTTTTAAAATAAATAAATAAAGTGTAGGCAAGATACTGAATTCTAGAATTAAGTCAGCTTTCTACTGGCCACTGACCTCAGGTGCTTAATATCCCAGAACTTCAGTTTCCTCATCTACAAATAAGGGTAATAATGATATCTACTTATTTTATAGGTTGCTATAAGAAGCTAATAATAGCCTAATATATTCCAAAGTACTTTGTGAAATGTCAACAGTCCTAGACTTGCTGTTTTATTTTAACGTGTTCTCTGAGGAATCCCTTTTGCTGTTGTTTAGCTGTGTTTTTGTTGTTGTTTTTCAACAATGCAAGGAATTGGGTGGAGAAGCACAACTAGCATTTTGTGGAAATGGCCCTTAAATTGCAGCATGTTTAGTTTCTGGCCCGATAGCATCCCCCCAGAAATTGGGACGATCAAAAACACATTTTCATATATCCACAAAGCACCTCCCCAGGTAGAGGAACTATAATCAGGTTGAGAACTACTGCTGAGGACAGAGTCCAGAAAAAGGGGTGGGGGAGGGGGATTCTGCTCTGCTTTTGATCTGCTTTAGTTAATAGATTTCTTAATAAATGTTTGCCTGCAGAAAGCATTATGCTGCCAATAATATTTAAAGTTTAAAAACTATAATGATTAACTAGCTTAAATTGTCATCAAAAGCCATATCTGTCATTTTATAAAAGAATCCATTTGGGGGCTTGTTTCTGCCATAACCACTCCTGCCTTGAGAGTTCAGTCTACCTTCAGGACCCTTCTCCATGGTGATCATATGTGCAGGCATTTCCTAGACAGTTGTTTATATCCTTCAAAATCAGCAAAGCTCATCACAGTCCATGAATAAAAATCCAAGGGCATAGACACCACTCATCTGATCCCTGCAATGTACATGTACTCATGAGAAGTGACTTTCTTAGACACCTATTCACCACCATAACGAACAATCGAGAAATTCCAACACTGTGAATTTTTCACTGTGGACCCAGAATTCACATCAATATTATTGTCTTTAGATAAATGTTTGTTGATTCTTCAAACCTGGCTTTTTCTTGGTCAAGCTCACAGCTGATTCTAATTAGTATCAACAGTAGATTCTAGCACTGTAGCACTTCCAGCTAAAGGAATCCCAAAGGAAGTAAAAACTAGAAGTAACTTCCTGTTACTCCCTTTGGGATTTGCCAAAGCAAGGCCTTGAAACCAGGTGTGAAATCCCAAAGGAGTAATACTAACCTACCCTAGTCTAACTCACTGGTTTGTTGTTGAAGAGCAAATATGGTAAGAATATTAATAGGTGACATTTATCAAAATGTATTCCTAGTGTGTGCTAGGCATCCTGCTGAGTGTTTCACAAAAAAACACCTCCTTCAATCTTCCTGACAACCCTATGGGTAAATATTATTGTTGTAATTCCCATTTAGCGGATGAGGGAAGTACAGAAGCTCAGAGAGGTTCTGAGCTAGGGACTTGTCCAAGATCACTCAGCTTGTAAGTAGAGTTGCAGAATCAGAACTCACACCTGGGACTGTCTAGCTTCCTGGCCTCAGCTCCTGGCCAGCATGCTATTCCACCTCCTTAACTGACACGAAGTGTACTGAAAACTCCAAAGTGCCACCGAGACTCTAATAGCTGCTTTCGTGTTTTTAGTCTGTAACAGTTTACTTGAAGCACCCAGCTCTCTCACAGCACGCTTCACGGTGCCTCTCACTCACGGTTGCTTGTGAGCAGCATAAACAACATATGACATTTTGTTTGATGTCTAAGAACATCCCTGTCATATGTTGTTATTTTCTTTCCTGTCGTTCGGCAAGGTGTCTGCCCAGGGCATTCAGTCCACACCTCTGAACCTGGCAGTGAATTGGCGATGTGAGCCTTCAAGCACTGACCTGCGCATAGATTACAAATATAATACAGATGCAATGACGACTGCTGTGGCCCTCAACAATGTGCAGTTCCTGGTCCCCATCGACGGAGGAGTCACCAAGCTCCAGGCAGTGCTCCCACCAGCAGTCTGGTATGAAGCCTCCTATTCTCTCCACCAAAGGGCTCCTCTGGGTCAAGAGGTCACAGACTCCTTAGCACTTGCGTGTCCTGTAGGAGGAGATGACAGCAGGCCTGTGCATTAGGGTTCAGGGCAGGAAATAGAAACCACTGGTAGCTATTTTAAGCAAAAACTAATTCAACAGGGACTTCAATGCTTACACAATGGTGGAAGTGCTAAAGGAACAGGCTGGATCTCCAAAAATGCCTCCCAGAGCTCTGCAGAACTGGCCTGCCACAATCCCGGGAAGGAGAGAAAGTAGAAGGCTACCGGTAGAACCATTGAATTCAGGAAGCCACAGCTGTAATTCCGATCCTAGGACCAGCAAGCTCCTATTGGTACCTCCTTAAGTGCTTCTTGGCACCCACAAACTAGAGGCTAGAGTGGACTCCTGTTGTTAGAAGATCCCCACATCTGAGTTAGATTGCTGATCAGAGGAAAACAGTCAAGAAAGCTGCAGGAGAATGGCCTCTGTCTCCCTTCTGTCTTCTAAATCTCAAACCGTGCATGCAATTGGTAAACCTAATTTGTACCTAGGACCCTAACTGCAAAGGCCTCTGAGAAATGTAGTGTTTCATTTTGTAGCCTCTGAACTATAAAAAGGCACACTAGAGAAGGTATGGGACTAGAAACTGAATAGATACATTGTGCCTATATCATCTATTATAAAGGACTTGTTCTAGAAAGAGCATTTCACTTTTTCCATACGACTGTCAGAAGCAAAAAGTGGAATTTGTTTTAAAAATGAATGTCAGCCAGATCATGACCCCAATTTAAATTACCTTAATTAATTGATTAACACTCCTATCTTCCCATGTATCTGTCTTAGCAGATTTATTTTAAAAAAAATTAATTCTACTTTGTCCTCTCAATGTTCATCTCATGGTGTTCTAGCTAGTTACAATAAGGACAGAGGAAAAAAGAGATTTATGTATGTCTGGGAGGGGAGAGAGAGAGACAGGGAATTTTTAAATTGTAGTGAAAGTTTTCAAGCTCTATTTTAAAAAATTAATACTATCTGGAAAAAAAACATGGCATCCAGTAAACAAAAACTCTTGGATATGCAAAAACCTTTTACCTAATTTATTTTTAGGAATGCTGAACAACAGAGAATATTGTGGAAGATTCCTGATATCTCTCAGAAGTCAGAAAATGGAGGTAATGGAATCACAAGTTTATTTTATTTAACATGTAAAGCTAAAATGGCTTTAGGTATTTGCCAACTATTACCCAAAACATGTAGCAATAAAAACAAGCAGAATATTTCACTCCATTTTTGCGTTTACTTATTTCAATTAATAAAAGCAAATAATTCTTCAATGAATTCTCTTTTTCCCCTTTTCTACAGACTCCACATCAAACAAACTATCATTTAGGCCTCTTAAGGAGGCATGTTTCCATCCTGTGTCAGATTCCACGCTCCCTGATTAGATATTTTTCACTCTCCTCAGATATTAATCATAGGTTGGAAAATACAAGGGCTTCCAAGTAGCACGTCTTCAAATTTTGAGGTACCATCTCATGGAAGTACACTTTTACCAGTGTGCAAATAGAATTGCTCATAATATTCAATGATAAACTCATTTAATCACCATTTTGTCAAAGAATCATGTCTGATTTTGTACGTTAACTTTTGAATGCAACCTCCAAAATTATATCCGAAATATTATGTTGACTGTTACCTTGTAATAATGTGTTTTTTTTTAGGGGTGGGTTCTTTGTTGGCAAGATTTCAGTTATCTGAAGGCCCAAGCAAACCTTCTCCATTGGTTGTGCAGTTCACAAGTGAAGGAAGCACCCTTTCTGGCTGTGACATTGAACTTGTTGGAGCAGGGTATCGATTTTCACTCATCAAGAAAAGGTTTGCTGCAGGTAAATGAGTATCTTGATTTTTTCATTTGCGAAAATAATGTTGCCTTGGCTACTCTTAAGAGGAATAGGTTGTGATTTTCTCATCTTTTTCCTCCACCTCTTTCCCACTCCCAACCCCCATCCCAATTAGAAAACCAACCAATTATTGAATGAAGTAGAAATAGGACAATGCACTAGAAATCAGAAGTCAGGAGGCTCTGACTTCTAACTCTGTTTCTTAAGTGGGGCTAGTTGTTCCCATTATATAGATGTATATACTGAGGTTAATGGAGTAAATCCTACTTTTATTATATTGACGAACAAGACAAATACTTTTTGCCTTTTATTTTTATTTATTTTTTTTTTTGGTGAGACGGAGTCTCTCTCTATTGCCCAGGCTGGACTGCAGTGGCGCGATCTCTACTCACTGCAAGCTCTGCCTCCCGGGTTCACGCCATTCTCCTGCCTCAGCCTCCCGAGTAGCTGGGACTACAGGCGCCCACCACCACGCATGGCTAATTTTTTGTATTTTAGTAGAGACGGGGTTTCACCGTGTTAGCCAGGATGGTCTTGAACCCCTGAGCTCGTGATCCGCCTGCCTCGGCCTCCTAAAGTACTAAGATTATAGGCGGTGAGCCACCGCACCCAGCCTTGCCTTTTAATTTATCTCCCACCAGAAAACTTTTTGTTCTCTGACAGGACTTCACAGAGTTTAGACTTGTCAGGTTTAGCTGAGATCTGGGAGAATCTATTTTTCACTTTAATAACAAACTCAAAGAATCTAGGCCACAGATCAAAACTGGTCACCCATAAGCTGAATGTGGCCATGAGACAGGTTTTATTTGGCACAAACAATGGGGTTTTATTTTGTTTTTCAATTGGGGGAGAGGAACTCTCTAATACTAGAGTGATTATACTTTTCAGTGATTTGCTGGGATAAATCCTGGTTTTTTTATGTCTATTGTACTGATGTAATTATTAATTATACCCTTTTCGCTCTCAAAAATGATCCAAATTGGAATATAAGTTATATGAGCACCCTTTCTTTTTTTTTTTTTTTTTTTTTTTTTTTGAGACGGAGTCTCACTCTGTCGCCCAGGCTGGAGTGCAGTGGCGCTATCCCGGCTCACTGCAAGCTCCGCCTCTTGGGTTCATGCCATTCTCCTGCCTCAGCCTCCTGAGTAGCTGGGACTACAGGCGCCCACCACCACGCCCGGCTAATTTTTTGTATTTTTAGTAGAGACGGGGTTTCACCGTGTTAGCCAGGATGGTCTCGATCTCCTGACCTCGTGATCCGCCCGCCTCGGCCTCCCAAAGTGCTGGGATTACAGGCGTGAGCCACCGCGCCCGGCCTATGAGCACCCTTTCTAACATAAGTTGGATTCTCACATCCAGAAATAAATCTCCCAATCTATTCTGGGCAAACCCCAAACCTCTGCAAATTGTTGATCTATGGAAATGTGAAGAGGCAACTAGCTGATCTGAAAAACTGAAAATTGATTTGGAAACTTTATGTATCTTTTATTCGTATTGTACCTCTGAAGTATGCAGTATCTGGCTCCTAGGGGTAGGGAAGGAGGAATAGAAAAGTTACCCATATAATAATTACATTATTGAACTACCAGATAACCTGTTGACATGCTGTTTTGTTTTGCAGGAAAATACTTGGCAGATAACTAATGAAATCTTATGCAAGGATTTGGAGGATTCATATAATGGAGAACTGATGTATGAGAAACAGATTTTAATTTTGGTTTGATGAAAACAAACCAATATCTGCACTTGGGATATATCAGGTGGAAAGTCAATGACTTTCATCTGTGATTTCCCTCACACACTACCATGATGACCAGTCCTACAGTATTTACTTCTAGGTGTAATATTGTTAATGGTTTTAAAATGTAATTATTGTATTTGTAAATTGTACTCTCATTCCAGTAAGGCAGTTAGACACTTGAGTTTTAGCATTTTACCATTCCTGAAATGGATGTAATTTAAACTGTGGTATGTAAATTTAATAGTAGTATTGTTGAATGGCACAATGCTTACAGAGGTAGATTGCATTTTGTCAATATATAAAATTTAAATATAATATTGATAGCTGTCATAAAGGGGGTGCCACATATTAAAGAAACTTAAGTGGAACCAGAAGAAAAAGAAACAAACTTACTTTTCTTCAATGCTTAGTATGTTTTACTCTAGTGCTAAATAAAAACTCTATCTTCAAATGTTTAGTGGGTTAAATTGAGAAACTATTTCAGAAAAAAATTCTAAGGTTACAGCATATTCAAAGAAAAGCATTAGTTACCACTTTTTAAAAAGCTTTTTTTTCAAACTGCAAATTTCATAAAAATGCAAACTGTGTAAACAGGGCCTCTTATTTTTATAACTTGTGTAAAAAGGGAAAGCAATTCATATTTAAAGTTTAAGTATATTAAATTATAATCAAGAGTAAAGAAGATGTTGAAGTCTTAACTACTTGCCCCTCTCTACAGTTTCGCAAATGTGGGGATTGCTGAATAATCAGTCAGACTAAAACCAAAATTGTGATTTTAAGATTTCAAGACTTTCCGTAGTTGAACTGGTTAAGAATTTTTGCTTAGTTACTCTGAATAGATGATCTTACTCATCCAGTATGGGGGAATGATACCTCACGTCTTCCTCTTTACCCACAGGAATCAAAACGCTGAGACTGAGAATTTTAGGGAAAAAAAAGTCCACTGTTTAGATCCAGAAGGAGAGTTTTAATCATTGTTTATATCATTTGAGAATGAAAAAATAAGCTTCATAAATGAAATTCTATTCACATTACTGTGTAATAAATTTCCTTTTGGATGATTAGGATTCATTGTATAAAACTGTAAATCTTTGCCATTCTTGGAGAAGCAAAAGGAGAGTTATCAAAAATGTATGTCGTTTCATCGTTGCAAGGTATAATAAAAACTGTAATTATTCAATCTGGCCCTGCCATATGAACATTTAGAAAGACAAACTTCTTCGGGAGTCTCAGTTGTAAAACCTTCCCTCATTAATATCTGAAAATGTTAGTCTTCCTTTAAGTCATAGAACTTATTTAAACATAAACCAATTTCTATTACAGGTTATGCTATTAAATAGCTGTAATTATTAAGTTATTATTTTTATAATTAGTTGTTAAATTTCATTTTACACCCACTCAAATTTAACAAAGAATCTTTAGCCCCTTTAAATTTTAGAATTAAATTAAATTTTTAAAGTTTTACTTCTAAAATGAGATTGTGACTGGCAATTGTTTATAGTGAAACTTTTTAAATTAATCTTTGTACTCCTCTATCAGTGCTTGCTACCAAGAGAATGTCCAAAATGATTTGTTTTACCATGGGAAAATTCTTACTATTCAACAAACTCTCAGTTGGCCCCCTACAGCAGTCTGGTGTTGAAGTTTCTTTGAACGAACTAAATATACTCATTTTATGTAAAGGTATCCAATTTGATTTTGAAACCAAAATAGAAAATGCAAAATTCTAAATTCCATGAAACATGGAATTTATGACACCAAAATCAATGGAGAGTAAGCAGCAGCAAACTGAGAATTATCCAGCATATGAATATAACAATGTGTTTTTAAGTAATCAATTCATTTAAAAAATTGAATATTAATACAAAGCATATTAAAAACATGTAAATATTACTGGTTCTCATGTCTTTGTATTTATATTTTATTTTGTTTTATTTTGTATAGATCTAGAATGAATTAGTAATTAAACACAAGGGTTTTTTTCCCAAAAAATAATTTTACTGATTTTTAAAAATTTAATTAAAAACATAGATTACAGTAATCTCTAACATTATTCAAATCTTTCTAGGGATTAAATTAGAAACTATGAAGAAATCCTATAATCTCTTAACTGGTCTTTATGGAACAGAATGGGAGTCAACAATTTCAAAATGATTGAACTATGAGTAACCAGAACCTCAATAGAAAATGTATCCCTTCACCTTTCAGAAAAGAGATCAAATAATAACACAATAAGCTGGTATCAGGGATTTGCATTTTGACATTTTGTTGTTTCTTTTTAATTTTGTAGATTATAATCTCCTGTTACATCTATATCCACAGTACTGTAGAATAAGAATTCATGTCCTGAAAATGGTCCCAGGCAATGAAAGAGTCTCAGTTATCAAAGACATTAAGTCAGATTCATTTATTCATTTTATTCCCAAGTCAGAACAAAATGAACTAGTAGGTAATAAAACTATTTTCAGTACTAGGGGTTAAAACAAAAAGAAATTGTTCTAGTTAACCAGAACACCATTTCCTGAACGTTATGATCTTTAAAAGGTTCTGCTTTAGCAAGATAAAAAGTATAAATGATGCTACTTTATTTTGGCAACATGGAAATTTTGTTTTTCTTTTCCAATAAAATCCATATTTTCGTGAAATTTTTAAAAATAAATTTGTATCAAGGATTAGTCTGAATTTTATCATAATAGAAATTTATAATTACTAAGAATTAAATTTTTAATCATTTTTAAAGCTGTGTTCTTCTCTACACCCACAGCCAAAATGGAAATTCACTGTATGGTATTTGGGAATATATTTCACCTGTAAAAGAAAGAATGTCCACAATTCAAACGGTTTTGAGTTAATAGATAGGAATCCCTCAGTCAAACTACAGAATTTTTTTTGTTTTATATATTCTTAGTCAGCAGAGTGTTTGAGCTATAATTACAAGTATTTCCACTTCTAAATCTTCTTTTAGAAAAGCAGATAACTATAATACCTTGGCTCTGCCACTGACTCCTGCCGTATGATATTGGACAAATCACTGCCCTTTTCAGTTTCTCATCTTTAGAATGGGGAGTTGGGATTGCCAGTGGTTTTCAAGCTTTTCTTAACAGCAGGGCTTTTTTTCTAATAAAATTGCACATGGAATCCTGGTAGGCAAAACAGCTCAAAGCAATGCAGGAGTTTCTCCAACAGTTTAAATTGGGGCTCCCCAGAGCATGGTTTAAATACCATAACAGTACACAATGATCTATCATGTGTCTTCCAACTCTGAAGTTCCACAGTTGTAATTTACTCAGATAAACCACCTTTTGAGGCTTTATAAGCAAACTTGTAAAAACACAGTAATTGAATGATATACAATAAAAACTGACAGAGTGTTTACCATGTACCAGTCACTAGAGATATTAGCTCATTTAATTCTCTTATCAATCAAAAAATTGTAAGTACTCTTTTTAATTCCTGTTTTACAAGTGATGACACTGAGGCTTAAATAGAATAATCTCCCCAAAATGACACGGCAGCTGAAAGTAACCCAGCTATTCTGACTGCAAAGGAAACGCCTTAATTGCTTTGTCCACCCTGAACAAAACAATCTGTTTTATGTCACTATACGTACTCCATTTGAATGCCAAGGTAGAAGGCACCATGAAAAACCATTACCAAAATAAGGATAATTCCAATAACAAAACTGTCAAAAAAGAATCACTGCTTCTCAAAATATGATTGGTATCATCACTTATTAATGTTTTGTATCATCACTTATTAATGATTTTGGCTTGGTCACCACTATGCCTGGAAGATAGTAGGCACTGATAAACATTGTTAAACACCGTAACAACACAAAATGATCTACCACATATCAATGTCTTCCATCTCTGAAATTCCATGATTCTACTTTACTCAGATATACCACCTTTTGTGGCATTATAAGGAAACATGTATAATCAAGTTCATACAAGCTATACACAGTAGGCATCGATAAATTTGTATTGACAGCATAAACTTCTAGGGATGAGATTTGGGAATATACATTTTGATAAGTGCTCCAAATTTGAGAATCATTGCTCTAGTAGATCTCTAAGGTCCTTCTTAGTTCTGACATTATATCAGATTTTAAGCATTAAATTCTAAGATGAAAACCATTTTTCTAGTCAGTTTATTTTTCATTCAGTCCACTTAATTTCCTCCAATCTTAAAAAATTTTTTTCCCTAGGAAAATCCCTATCTTTTTCTTAAAGTTACTCTGTTATACTATCTCAGTCTCAAAGTAGCCTGAAATGCATTTTCTCATTTTCATATTTCTGTCCTTTTCTTCAATGTCTTAAAAGACTTGAAGTAGAAGGGAAGTTGCAAGCTGTTATTTATTCAAATACAAAATCCTAATCAATGTTTCCTTCTTTGCAAGGGACATTCAGATCTCTAACTTGTGAGTTGAACCTATTTATTTTGTAAGCTTTTGACTTTACAAACATGTGGTAGCCTCATTCTAAAAGAGTTGCACGAATATTTTTTCTCAAAATAACCACAGGCTGTAAATTAAATTGAACAATACAGTAGAATATGCAGATACATACTAAACAGATGAGTGTGTGTGTATGTGTCTGTGTTTAAGCTTTTCCTTTTCCAAAAGATTATACATTTGAGCAAAATCCCATTCAGTCTAAATGTACTCATTTTGCCACATGGTTTTCTGATCAGCAATTTTTTTAAAAAATGGAAGTGTTACATTATATTTAATAATATCAAAACAAGAGTGATCTCTAAATATAGCTTTGAAAGTTAATATAATATGATGTGTCCATGCAATGAGTCAAATTAGATTGTTGATATAAATGAACAAATCAATCCAAGTTACATTGATTAAAGGGACTATTTGGATGACCAGCCTCACCATCTTTTACTGTGTGCACTTTCCTCTTAAGGTTTTATTGTATTTTCCCTGCTCCTTTAGGCTTTTTTTTCATGTGGAAAACAGTATCTAAATGCCATTCTCTCACTTATGAATTAAATATGGCTACCATTAATGTTCCTTTTTGTCAGTGGAGTGTATGGAAGGAAAATGAGATAGGAGTACATTGCTTAAGTCTCTAAATATTAAAAACAACAACAAAACACTTGCCTTTCTCTTGTGTCATTGCTTCAATGTTCTGTCATCTTCTGCAAGCTAGAGTTGCACTGCTGACATCTAATTAAGATCTAAATATATTTCATGAAGGAATGTCAAATGTAAAGTCTGTTGAGTTGACCATGGTGAACCTCTTGATTGGCCCTCACATTTAATATCTGATTTCTCTCCTAAATGGGTATGTCTATGAGGAAAAGACACCTATTTGTTGGCATTGACCATGGGTATAATAATTTATTCTCTAGGTTTAACTTCTAAAATTATTTTTCCTTTGATTTCTAACTGCCTCCTTCTATCCCTAGAGTAATACCTTGCCTACCTTAAATACATCTTTATCCTTGTAAAAAATGTTTTGGCAAAAAACAAATATATTTTTAAATGTCCCGTAATGTTTTAAAGAAAAGAAGTAAAGTGTATTTGGGCTATGCTCACCAATATTCCAGTATTTTACAAATTGTGTTCTGGAAGATGTTCATTGTGGTCTGAGAACAAATGGTCCTATACTATAATTCTCTCTCCTTGGACATTGACAATAAATGTTAGTGTTTTAATGAAGCTTAAGAAAGTTATTGAATCAGGTAAAAAAAATTTTTTCTAAGCACACCTTGAGAAACCTTTGGAAAAGTTTTCTTTTAACACTAGTTTATATATCCTTCAATAATTGTAAATAAAATAACCAGGAATGCTTTGAAAAAAATGCTTCTGGAATTTTGTTTTAATTTTAAGAGAATTCCTGTCATTTCAAATGAATTGTTATCTATTTTAAATTTCATTAGTATCTCTTAGTGAATTTAACTTTATCATCTAAAATATTCAAAACAAAACAATAAAATTATTTTAATTTTTGTATTATTTTTAAGGCTTGCACCTATGACCAGCATATCAGACCCCTATCTGTTGAAGATGTTTCCAATTCTTTGCCGTGTGGAATTAATGCCAGTGAATAATCTCCAGTAACGTTTTACTAAACAGCTTTAGGAAACTGAATCATGATAGATCAATGTTGACAGTATTTTTACATCAGCTTGTCAGAAATTATATTAAAAACACTTTGGGGAAAGCTAAGAGCAGTGCACTGTTTAGCACAGATTTTGTGAGATTCTATACTCTTTTAATGAGCATTTCATAGGGTTTTTTTTTTGCTGTTTTTTTTTCTTTTTTTGCTTTGCTTTACTTTGCCAATCAGTTACTTTTATACCAAATTAACGAAGTTTCTTTAAAAACTTCCTGGTTAAATTGTCTGTTATCATATAGAAAAGAATCAAACTGAATCACTTTACATTTCTCTAAAGATAGTTCAGTTTTTAATCCATCCAGAGTTTGTGAATCAGCCTGATAGATCATAAGCCATTTATAATTTTTAAACGTTCCATTGAATGAGTATATCATACAAATGTTAATTCCATCTCGCTCATTCAGTTTTACATTACTTTTATGAATTTTTTTTCTCGCAAAGTAAATGCTTGATGTTATTCATTCACCATCACTCTAAGGTATTTTAAATCATACAACAAGTAACTATCACAAGAACCACTGTCCCAAGATCCAAAGTCAGATTTTTTTCCCTTTTCAAGTTGCTAGAATGATAATTCATATAGCTGTGTTGATTTTTCAGGTCAGAATTTAGTTCTTGCTTTGTTAAATGGACATACATGAAAGAGATTGGCTCCTATCTAATTCATATTCTCTCTCTCTCTCTCTCTCTTTCTCTGTGTGTGTGTGGGGGTGTGTGTGTGTGTGTGTGTGTGTGTGTGTGTCTCTTTCCTCTCTGTCTAAGGGGAATTGGAAAATTGCTGCTGAATAATTTTTCTTGAAAAAGCCAAGTGTTGATATGATGATATATTAATCTTATCTATGAACAGAGCTTCACCACAGGCCAAGCAGTAATGTATACAGCTGGCTTTTTAAGCTGTTTGAACACTATTGTTTTCGATTAAAAAGAGTTTTTGTTTGTTTTTCACTTGTATAGTAAAAGATCATATGAATTAAATACTCGGATATTAATTTTCATTCTTACTAAGTGGCCATGTAAGGCATTGATTTTTTTTAAACTTGAACAATGCAAGAATCTAGGAATCTCAGAAAGATTTTGCTGTGTTTCTATAGGTAATGAAATCCTGTCAATTAAGGAAAATGCTGTGTGTAATTTGATTTGGTGGTAGCCTTTATTTAGAGCTCTCTTTGATCTATGTAGCAAAAATACACTAAATTTCTTTTTAATCTTGTACTAAGTACATAATTTCACAAAAATACCTTGGGCATAAAATACTTACAAAACTGTGAATTAAAATACTCAAGATACTTTCAAAATTTAGTCAAAATGTTGATTCCCAGCCTTTTTCCTACACGTCTATTTCAAAAGAGTATACTTTTTTCTGACAGCCATTACTGCTTAGTCTGTAATGAAAGCTTTACTGCTTCTATGCTGTGCTCAAGAGAAAACCAACAACGGAAGCGAAGACTTACTTGCTCCTTCACAGAATTGCAGCAAAGCTCTCTGCTGGGCAATGGTGACAGGAAAGTGTGTAATTGACTTGTTGAAGATAATCATGAGACCATCTTAACATTACTTGCCTTATAAGTTAGAAATAGTATGGATATCACTCTTTGTAAATAATAATTTTTGTAAATGTTTTTTGTTCATAATTTTCCCAATCACCTATTTCACAAAATCCTGAATATGCAATTATTTATTATGACACGTTACTGCAACTAGGGCTCCCATTCCAGAACAAAGTTTAATTCTATATGTAAGTTGTTACTGAAATGTGATTTCTTTTTCTGGAAAATAAATGAAAAATATGAAAATAAATTGAATTGTGAATATCTTTTGCTGTCAGCCTCTTAAAATTTTACCCGCATTTCTGGAAAACTTCATTCCATGTTTAGGGTAGGGATGGTGGGCCAAAGGTCTGTCAAAGGTCAAGGGTTAAGAGTTAGACAAATTTCAGCTCTGTGATTTAAATATCGACTTGAGCATGTTACTCAACGATTCTACATTTCCTTATCTTAAAAAAAAATAGAGTAATGTCCCCTATGTCATAGTCACTGAACAAATTCAATGAGATAATGTTTATTCATCACCTAGCAGTTCCTATCTAGTCCATAGTAGATATTCAATCAACAATCCTTTCCTGTTCTTATCTTTCTGTGAGTAGAGATTGGGATGGGCAAAAATATCTATTTCTCTTCTTCCAACACTATCCTAACACTGTGCTCCACCGGAATCCCAATGTATTACTGTCAGCTAATGCTAATTCCAGCAGGACACTCATCAAGAGCCATGCCCTTGGCTAGATGCTTGGAGGCATCTTGTTTCTGCTTCCAATGATTGCCCACTACAGGAGGGTCCCTATAGTGTTTATTTTGTTTGCTTTTGGTTTGGGGAGGCCCAAACCAGGCTTAGGCTGGGGATAGTCGCTGAAGAAGAGGAAAAGCCCATTCATACCAGCAGGTAGGTCCTCAACCCCAAACAGCCTCATTTCAAAGCTTCTTAGACATTAACAGGCTCAGAAGAGTCTTGTTAAGGAAAGCGAAGGAACCCAGCCCGGTTTGTAACACATTGGAGTTAAGACCATGAGTTTCAGGGGCCTTGGGCATATTATTTAACATTTTAGAATCTCAATTTTCCAAATCCTTTAAAGGGAAAACATTCCTTTCTTGACAGAGTTATTGGGACGACTAAATCCCAATGTTTGTCGGTATCTGGGGTATCTGGCCAATGTAAGTGCTCATTTACCTCCACATTCCACCGCCTGTGCCTTGGAGGGGGAACGTGCGAAGCAGCGTTAGGAGCCGGGAAAAGGGCAGGGCTACTTTACTTTGTCTTTGCGCTTCGGATTTCCTGTGCTAGGAAACCGCAGCACTTCCCACTCCTGCCCCTGATGTCTGCGGGAAAAGGAACTTGATGAGGGGCCCTAGGGGTGCAAATGTCTTTAGTCCCAAATGTCTTCCTCGCTACACAATGAACCAGTTCCCCTCCAGCTCGCCGCCAACCCAGGACGCAGCCCGGCTCAGAGTGACCCCCAGTGGGCAGTGAAGATGAGATCCTCTACATCCTTAGGGCAGCTCAGAGGGCCACTCAGCGGCCAAGTCCGGCCGGGGAGGGCCGAGGGCTCTGTTTGAGGTCACCCTGGAGACCGGCCTCAGAGTCCAGGGAGAGTGCGCGGGCGGCCGCCGGCTGAATGAAGCCTGGGACGCGGGAGCCGCGCCGCGCGCAGTGTCTGCAGTGCCGGAGGTCTGGGAGGCTCCGGGCGAAGCCTCCCTGCTGCAGGTAGGGTCGCCTCTCTCTGCAGCGCGTCTGGACCCCAAAGGAAGGATAGGGGGCAAGGGATCGGCCCTTTGTTGAGAAATGGCCCTACTTGGCCCCGATCTCTCCGCCACCTTATTCCTCCTCTCCCCAACACATAAGAAAAAATGATCCCAAATTTGGGAACTGAAAGTCGGTCCCAACGGTTCGTCCCCTGCCCCATTGCATGGCTGGGGGCTGGGCTTCAAGAGTGATGGCCAACGCAGAGCCGGCCAGCAAGGTCATCCCCTGACCCGGGGCGGTCTTCCTGTGGCTGGCCGCACCCATGAGGACCTCCAGGTCCCAACTCTGGCCTTTCTTGGGGAGGGGGCGGCCTGCAGGGCAGCTTTGGAAACAGCTGAGGCCGAGATGGGTCTATGTGGCTTTGCAGCAAAACCTGAATGACCCACCTAATCAGGCTGTGTGTCTTTCCACACTCATAAACACACTCACCTTCGTACACACGAACACAGACACACTTATACACACAGGCACCTGCACACACAGAGATGCACACTCACAGGTACACACTCAAGGACGCTCACACTCACGTGCACACACACACCACGCTGCCTGCCTCACCCACACACAGCACCTCTGCTCTGACATTGATGCCACTGGGTTTTAGGGTATGTTCTTGTGTGCCCTACCTACTCAACTGCCAGCTCCTTGAAGGCATGGATTCTCTTCTATTTTTATGCTTTGGTGTCTAGCACAGTATTTCCTTATCGGGGCTCTCACATTTATAGATTATGAAATAATTTAAATGAATACTTAAATTTGTAGGTAGACAATGAGGGCATTATTAGAGTTATAGTCCAAGTTCTGGGAAGTCCATTGCTACTACCAGCTTTTTAACAAGTATTAGTAGGAAGGAGGGAGTTTTCCAATAAATTATTTATTTAAAAGTTAAGTCCTATTTGCTCTTTACAAACTATGTAAATGTTGCTCGAGAAAACAAAACAAACAACAAAAAATCTTTGGGAAAGCAAGGTTAATTTTAATTTTTATTTATTTATTTATTTTCTAGCTCCCTACCCCTAATTTTATTTTTTAAAGTCATGGTGGGTCAGGCACAGTGGTTGATGCCTGTAATTCCAGCACTTTGGGAGGCCAAGGCAGGAGGATCACTTAAGGCCAGGAGATTAAGGCCAGCCTGGGCAACACAGAAAGATCTTGTCTCTACAAAAATGTTTAAAAATTAGCTAGGCATGGTGGTGCAGGCCTGTAGTCCTAGCTACTAGGGAGGCTGAGGTGGGTGGACCGCTTGAGCCCAGGAGTTTGAAGTTACGGTGAGCTATGATCATGCCACTGCACTCCAGCCTGGGTAACAAGAGCTAGATCCTGTCTCTAAAATAATAAAATAGGCCAGGTAGAGTGGCTCATGCCTGTAATCCCAGCACTTTGGGAGGCTGAAGCAGGATTGCTTGATCCCAGGAGTTCAAGACCAGCCTGGGCAACATAGACCCTATCTCTACAAAAAATTAAAAATTAGCCCAGCTTGATGGCATACACCTGCAGTCCCAGCTACTCAGGTGGCTGAGTTGGGAGGAACGCTTGAGCCCAGGTGTTTGGGGCAGTAGTGAGCCATGATCATGCCACTGCACTCCAACCTGGGTGACAGAACAAGACCCTGTCTCAAAAATAAAATATAACAGTGACAGCAAATATTAATTAGCAAAGTTGTATTATGGTTACATTTGGGGGGCAATACAAATATTGGTTTCTGATGTAGGATAGCATCTTTCTGCTATACATGCATATCTTTTGTCAATGACCTCCGTCTTCATCAGCTAAGCATTTTTGCTATAGCTTAATATCTGCTTATGTAAATAATTATACTATTGCATAAATAAGCATTTTCAGAGTTATCATAGTTCCAGTTTCACTGATCAGAATAACAACAAATTCTATATATTGCTCTTGAGGAAACCCCACTTTCCTGTTCAAAAATGGTAGGAAAACTATCTGTGTACTTTGAGATTAGTCCCTGTTATACTAACTAAAATGTTTCCGGATCTTTCTTTTGCTATTTTACAAAAGTCTTCTTCCATAGGTTATGATGATGTCAGACAATGCTAAAGGCAGAGCAGCTCATTCATGGAAGAAAAGAGGGAGTATTTCTTCTCTAAGTAATCATGAATTTTGGCGAAAGGAAATTCATGGGCGCATCAAAGAGTGAGTAACTGTCTAAAATTGTAAATTCATTTATTGAATAAATAGGTTCGTAATGTTTATTAGGAGAAAAAAACACTTCCTCGGGGACATAAAAAGAGATAAAATGGGCAAGTACAAGGTGCAGGTCATCTTTAGGGGCCATATTTAAAAAGAAAGAGAAAGAGAGAAAGCTTAAGTGATAAGTTAATCCTAGCAGCATTTTTGCTATTTCAAAAATCATCCCAAAAAACCCTCTGCTCAAAAGAAACACCACATGCAATGTAAACCAGACACGCTTATATGTCTTTTGAGTTCTTCTCCTCAATATTTTATAACATAGGTTTTGCATTTTTGTAATCAATACATACATATACAATGTACTTAACATTATTGTATATAATTTTGTCATGTATTTTCATAGTTTTTTCCATATCCTCTTAAATGACTGCATAATATTTTGTCAATTTATGATTCTGGGTTCCTTAACCATTCTCTAATTATTGGACACTTTAAGTTTGTTTCCATTTTTTTTCTTTTTTACTATATGTCTGTGCTTGGTCATTTCCCAGAAGAATAATTAGTAGGTCAAAGGGCAATAAGTAGATTTTTTGGTTCTTGCTACATGTTGCATCTTCTCTCCTAAAGATATACATCAATTTTTAATATTTTCATGGCATTTCCTTTTGACTGCTGTTGGGAAGAAAACAAAACAAATTATCGACGTAGCAGTCAATTAATAATAGACTTTCGTTCTTAGTTTCTATAGCTTTGGAGGATGTTGTATATTGAGTATATATTGGGAAGCAGGAGCTAGGGTGTCCTGCAGAACAGAGAGTAGAAGAACTGGAATAATTAGAATTCTGAAACCAAAATCTTTCTATTCTCAGAGTGTATTAATGCCTACTTGCAACTCCACATTCCAGCCCTGGAAGTCTGTGGATTACACATACAATGCCTTTTACAGGTGGGAAACTGACTATAAAGGAGTAGCAATCCCAGCACATGTCAGAAGTAAAGGTGGGAGAATGATTAATCTTTGTAATTTTTGCTTCTAAACTTTTCTGGCTGCTATTTCCAATAGTTAAGTGCAAGGGTTATTTTTTAAATTATTTAAAACTGATTGTTGGCTTAAATTCAACTTACGTTTTCCAAGAAACTATTTAAGTAATAGTCTGACATAAATTACGTACCCATGATATTTTTTTAAATACTGTCTCCAAAGATTAAATTGTAATTCCTATTTGCATGACTTTTACTTATCTTTTCCCCTTCAAAACAAATTTGTCATATAGAATCAGAGTGTGGCTACATTTGAAGAATTAGAGATCACTCTTTTTAACCTATTATTGATGAATATAAATACATATTAAAAATAAGAATACAAAAATCATATTTATCAACACATTAGGATAGATTTTTCACTGACAACTACATTTAAATGATAACTATTTTGGTTTTGGACTCCCAAACAAAACATTTAGAATGGAACCTCTATTTGTACTTTTTTTCTTAAATAGCAAATGATCAGCTTCCAAGTCCCCTTGCAATGCAGACTATTTAGGAGGCTCCCCCACCCCATGCTAACTTGTATTAATACTTGCTTTCCATTGGCTTCCTCACTGTCTGGAATTAGACAGTACAAGTTATTCTCCTTCATGAATGAGGCTTCAACTAGTAGAAAAATTCTGAAAGCTTAGTGACTATCAAATACAGGCATTGTTTTGAAATTGCAGTGTTTTATGGAAAAACATATAACTTTCATTTGAAAATTACTTTAAAACAATTTTGAAAATATAAATTTCAATAATGTAAAACATTCTGAAGTTTATTAAGGACTGAATACATTATCTCACTGAATCTCCCCCGCATTAATCCTACTAGGTAGGCATCATTTCTACCACTTTACTATGAAATAACTAAAGTTTACAGGTCAAGTAATTTGACTTAATGATTAGGATACAGTCCCAAATCCTGACTATGAGATACAAAGTCCACAGACCCCTATCTACTTCCATAGCACCATCTTCCCCACCATCTTGCGGGCATCATCCCCTCCAGCTATACTCAGTTATTCCTCAGTGCTCTATCTGGCCCCCAGCCATTGCCCCATGTTGCTTCCCCATGGGGTACCCCGACTCCTTGCCTGCAATGCTCTTCTTACACTATTCCCCTGGCTTTCTTCACTTCTTCCATCAGAATTTCGCTCCATCTCCACCTTTTTGGGAAGTGCTCTCTAATTACTCATCTATGACCACCTTTACCTCCAGACTGCATTGGATGATCTGCCTTTCTTCTCCTACTGCTTTTGCCTTCGATATGCACTATATTTGGTGATTTGCTTGTCTATCTCTTTCAACAGACTATGGACTTATTTGTCTTTTTAGCGGTAACCACACTTATAAGGAGGACATGAAGAGTAAAGGTAGACCTCCTTGAAAAGCTGCTTCTTATATGTGGTATAAGATCAGCACAGATTTAGCCCTACAGTCTTGGTTTCCATGTCTACAGTCTTCCACAGTTGTAACTAATGCTTAACAATGATCCCCAGACAGAATAAATATCTGAAATGCCTTCTGAATTACAAAAAGAAGATTAAATTTATATTAAATATTATTGTGAACTGTTTTCAAGATTGGGTCTGTTTTTAAGTTATCTTTTCAATTTAATGTAATTTTTATGTTTTATTAAAGAAAAAACAGAAACATCTTAAGCTGGATCTTATTATCCTAACTGTTAGTGTGTTGGCATATTTCTGTTAGACCTGGACATACATATATCAGACCCATGCTGTCTGAGTCCAGACAGTACACTACACAGTGGTCATCATACTCCATCTGTAATTTCAAATTATTTTTTACCTGAACAATTTATAATAATAAGGATGATAATAGCTAACATTTATAGGGCCCTTGCGATGAACCTTATTTATGTATCATAGAAGCTCCATAATAGGAGTTGGCAAACTATGACCCAAGGGCCTATTCCAATCTGCATCTGTTTTGCTAAATACGATTTTTACATAGGTGAAAAAAATCAAAAGGGGAACAGTTTTTTTTGCAGCATGTAAAAATAACAAGAAATTCAAATCTCTATATGCATAAAGTTTATTAGGACACAGCCATTCCTATTCACTTGTGCGTTGTCTCTGGCCACTTTCGCACTGTAACAGCAGAGTTGAGTAGTTACAATAGAAACCGTAGGGCCTGCAAATCCAAAAATATCTGCTATTTGGCCTTTTACAGAAATGTTTGCCAACTCCTGCTCTATAAAGATAGATGTTATTATCTCCCCCATTCGACAAATGAAGAAGCAGAAGCTTAGAGAGATTGAGGCTCCAAAGCTACAGAATTAACAAGCAGCAAAAATGGGCTTTTGTTTATTAGTTGAGTATTTTCATTTCCTGAAAATTGGCAATCCATGTGTGATTTGCATTAATAAAACTATTCTGTTCATTCACCAGAACCTTCTGTTTCCCGTCCACAGTAAGAGCAGGTCTTTACAATTACATCTTTCTTATTGGAAGCTCAGACTTTGGCAGACACTGAACAGTGTTTGAACAGATGTGCTTCTCTCATTTCCTTAAAATGGAAACAGAAGCTATGAGGTCAAGTTACTTTCACAGGATCATGTGACATGATGTCTAGGCTTGTTATCTGTGAGGCCAGGAGTTCCACTAGTAGATTAGGGACAAGGTTGGGGGCTGAACATTCTCTCCTTTGCCTCAAACCAAAATTACAGTGATGTCATGTTACCAGAACTTTCTGTATGGATCCCACAGCTCCCCGTGTGAACCCACTGATGGCATCTAACATACCAGTTAGGCCACACTATATGTATTTCTTCATTTATTCAGGATTTATTAGCTTCTATGTGCCAATTACTGTGCCACATATTAGGCATATAAAGGTGAATAACTACAGGTTTCTAATTTAGATAAGTTCATTTTTCAGGGAAACTGAGAGCTGCCTGGTAACTTTTTTCACATTGTCTAGGTCTTGCCAGTAAAAGTGACCAAAATGGAAATGATTGCATTCATTACTTCATTTCAACAGTAATGAATTTATTCTATCATTCAATCTATACTACTGTGAGCTGTTTACGGGCAATTGAAAATGGTGCTGCCAGAACAATTTCTTCATTTTGATACCTGAAGGAGAAGGCTAGAGATTAGAAGATCAGAGTTAGGAGATAAGTTGTATCACCATGTATGTTAAACTAAAGCCCCCAACAAGACCTACCTGAGATATAGCCTCCCCCAAAAAGAGAAAATAGTTTGGGAAAACTGAAATGGCCATGTTTCCAAATGAAACCACAATAACAACTAATATTGTATTGTCATTTTAGGTTATTAAGCCATTTCACATACAATATCTGTGTAAGTTAAACAGACAAGATATTTTTATCCCCATTTATGTTTGTAAATGGGGAAATGATAGATTGTGTTGGCAGAAAACTGGCTCATTATAGGGAGGAAAATGAAGCTGGCCTCCTACCTTATATGCTTTGCATAGGTAAACTCCAGATGGAAGACCAAAATGTGGGAATCTATTAACAAAGCTAAGAGAAGAAAGCACAGGCCCATATCTTTATGTTCTAGGAGTAAGGAAAGATTTCTGAAAGAAGATCCCAAAATGAAAACTCACACCATAGAGCAAAATAATTTTTGGATAAATATAACCACAATAAAATCTAGGGCTTCTGCTCAACAAAGGATACAATAGACATAATTAATAGGCTGGCTGAAGATACATACACGTTTTTTTAAACCCTGTACATTAACAACTTATGCTAGGAAAACAATTTTTAAAATAGTCAAAGAAGACAGCAATTTTCAGAAACAAAGCCCAAATAGCTAAGCAGAATATGAAGAGGTGCTAAAACTCACTTTCAAGCAGAAAAAATATAAATTAAAACAAAATACCATTTTGCACCCATCCAAATGGCAAAACAGAAGAAAAGAGAATAATACCAAATGTTGGCAAGGCATGTGAGAGTAAAACCTGATATCGCCATTTGGCAAAGAAAGTTAATGGTTTTTAGAAAATACAGGGGTGTGTCTGCTTTATCAGAGTAAGAGCTTACAGAATAATGGCTCACAAAGCCCTACATGATCTAGCTACCTGATACCTTTGCAACTTTATCTTCTTTCACTCCTTTTCTTCTTCCTCCCTCTGCTACTTGTCTCTATGCATTTTCTCAAACACACTAGCAGCCTCCTGTCTCAAAGCATTTGCATGTGCTGTTCTCTCTTCCTAGTATACCTTTCCCTCAGCCATCCATGTGGTTCATTTCCTCACCTCCTTTCTTTGTTCATGAAGGCCTACCTTGACCACTTCATTTGAAATTGCACATCACATCTTCTCCTCCACCCACTTCCAAACTCCCTTAACCTGCTCTATTTTTTCTCTTCCCTGAGGCATGTATCACCTTTTATCATAATATATAATTTGCTTGTTTAGTATTTTATTGTCTATTCTCTGTCTTGCCTTACTAAAGTAACAGTTCCATGAGAGCAGAGACCATAGTTTGTTTTTGTTTTTGTTTTTTTTCCAGTATTGCATCCCAAAGACCTAAAATAGTGCCTGGCATATAATAGTCACTCAGTACATATTTTGTGATCATCGAATGAATAATTGTTGCATTTTATCAATTCCTGAGCAAGCAAGTTTCTTTTGCTCACGAACAAGTTAGGTTCACAGGTCCATGCATGTGTTAAGTCCAGGTTGACTAGGGGCTTTCCTCTTATAGACATAAGATGCATTTACAGCAAATAGAAAAATGCTTGTTCAGATTTTCTTAATGTATACCTTTACCTCCATGCTGACACATTCCATTGTGCATCTATTTTTAAAAAACCCAAAAGAACAGTTTCATTTGTGTTGGAAATCTGTTGTAATAGGCCACACTCCTCCTTGATGATCTCCACAGCTTTGTAGAGGTATTCATGGCACCTGCACTACCAGCATCACCTCTGATGATTGCCCAGCGTGACACAGCTTTGAACCAATGCATTTCATCCAAGAGCTGCAACAAAAGTTCATCAGCTGTGCTTAACTATCACCTCCCTTGCTCTTGGATGAGCATTAGCTCAACAGGCTTCAGACACTAACTCTGATCTTCTATCCACATACTTAAAATTGTTGTACTTTGTCAATCACCATTTCTGGATTACCTTCAATTACTCCAGAGCTGCGCTTTTCACAGGTTGCATGGTTCATTCTTTATCCTTCAGCATCACTTCTACTCGAAAAAAATATGTTCCACAAGACAGTGTCATTTGTCATGTTCCTGCCTCTTTCATTTTTGAAAATTATCTTTTCTTTCCATTATAGCCTTTCTCTTACTAGTAAAATGGAGCAAATAATGTGAGTAAAATACCTAAAAACTACAGGCATACTTTGGCAATATTGCAGGTTTATTTCCAGACCATTGCAATAAAGTGTATTTTGCAATAAAGGAAGTCACATGAATGTTTTAGTTTTCCAGTGCACATAAAAATTGTTTACACTGTTCTGTATGTAGTCTATTAAGTATTCAATAGCATTTTATCTAAAGAAAAAATGTACATACCTTAGTATAAAAATCCTTTATTGCTAAAAATGCTAATGATCATCTGAACCTTCAGCAAGTTGTCATCTTTTTGCTAGTGGAGGGCCTTGCCTCAGTGTTGACATCTGCTGACTAATCAGGGATATGGTTGCTGAAGGTTGGGATAGCTGTGGCAATATCATAAAATAAGACAACAGGCTGGGCAAAGTGACTCACGCCTATAATTCCAACACTTTGGGGAGCCAAGGCAAGAGGATCACGGCAGCCAGGGGTTCAAGACCAGCCTGGACAACATAGTGAGACACCCCCTTCCCTACAAACAAATCAGCCAGGCATAGTAGTACCTGCCTGTAGTCCTAGGTACTTGGGAGACTGAGGCAGGAGGATCCCTAAGCCTGGGAGGCTGAGGTTGCAGTGAGCTTTGATCATACCACTATACTCCAGCCTGGGCAACAGAGAGAGACACTATCTCAAATAAAATAAAAATAAAATGAAATGAAATAATAAAATAAATTTTAAAGCTTGCCACATCAATGGACTCTTCCTTTCATGAAAGATTTCCCTGTAGCATGTGATACTGTTTGATAGCATTTTACCATGGTAGAACTTCTTTCAAAATTAGTCCATTCATCTCAAACCGTGCCACTCCTTTATCAACTAAGTGTATGTAATATTCTAAATTATTTGTTGTCATTTCAACAGTGTTCACAGCATCTTCACCAGAAGTAGATTCCATCTCAAGAAACCACTTTCTTTGCTCATTTGTAAGAAGCAACTCCTCATCTGTTTAAGTTTACCATGAGATTGCAGCAATTCAGCCACATATTCAAGTTCCATTTCTTTTTTAACCATTTTAAATTTTATGTTTTTTATTGAAAATTTCAATTATGCATATTCATGGGGTACATAGTGATTTTTCCATAAATATAATGTATAGTAATCAGATCACGGTGATTAGCATATCCATTATCTCAAACATTTAGTATTTCTTCCTGTTGGGAACATTCAATGTCCTCTTTCTAGCTCTTTGAATCTATGTATTATTTTCATCTATGGTCACCCTACAGTGGTAAAAACACTAGAACTTATTTCTCCTATCTAGCTATAATTTTGTATCCTTTAACAGTAAATCAAGTTCTCTTTCTATTTCCACTGCATCTGCAGTTACTTCCTCCACTGAAGACTTGAACCCGTCAAAGTCATCCCTGAGGGCTAGAATCAACTTCTTCAAAACTCCTGTTAATGTTGACACTTTGACCTCCTCCCATGAATCATAAATGTTCTCAATGGCTTCTAGAATGGTGAATCCTTTTCAACTTACTTTGCCCAGATCCATCAGAGGAATCCACATCTATGACAGCAATAGCCTTACAAAATGAATTTCTTAAATCGTAAGATTTATGGGGTGAAAAGAAGTTGGTGAATACATACAAAAATACAATTAGATAAAATAAGTTCTAGTATTCAATAATACAGTAGGGAAATTATAGTTAGCAATAATTTATTATATATTTCGAAATAGCTAGTGGGGGTTAGGGGAAAAAAATAGCTAGAGGAATTTTAATGTCCCCAACACAAAGAAAAGATAAATGTTTGAGGCAATGGATATCCCAGTTGTCCTGATTTGATCATTACACATTTTGTATGCATGTATCAAAATATCACATGTTCCCCATAAAAATGTATCACTATGATACATCAATTAAAAATACAAAAATAAGTAAATAAATGAGATGAAGGTCGAAATTACTCCTTGATCCATGGGCTGCAGAATGAATGTTGTGTTAGCAGGCATGAAAGCAACATTAATCTTCTTGTACATCTCCATCAGAGCTCTTGGGTGACCAGGTGCATTGTCAATGAGCAGTAATATTTTAAAAGGAATCTCTTTTTCAGAGCAGTAGGTCTCAACAGTGGGCTTAAAATATTCAAGAAACTATGCCGTAAAACAGATGTGCTGTCATCTAGTCTTTTTTGTTTCACTTATAGAACACAGTAGATTTAGCATAATTCTCAAGGGCCCTGGGATTTTCAGGATGGTAAATGAGTATTGGCTTGAACTTAAAGGCACAAGCTGCATTAGCTGCTACCAAGAAAGTCAGTCTGTCCTTTGAAGCTTTGAAGCCAGGCATTGACCTCTCTCTAGCTATAAAAGCCCTAGGTGGCATCTTCTGAAATAAGACTGTTTCATCTACATGGAAAATCTGTTGCTTATTGTAGCCCCTTCATCAATGATCTTAGCTTATCCGATGATCTTAGATCTTCTGGGTAACTTGCTGCAGCTTCTACATCAGCACTTGCTGCTTCACCTTGCACTTTTATGTTACAGAGATGGCTTCTTTCCTCAAGCCTCATGAACAAACCTCTGCTAGTTTCAAACTTCTTCCATAGCTTCCTCACTTTTCTTAGCCTTCATGGAAGTGAAGGGAGTTAGGGCCTTGCTCTGGATTGGGCTTTGGCTTAAGAGAATTTGTGACTGGTCTGATCTTCTATCCAGACCACTAAAACTTTCTCCAAATCAGCAATAAGGTTGTTTTGCTTTCTTATCATTCATGTGTTCACGGAAGTGACACTTTTAATTTCCTTCAAGAACTTTTCAGGCAGGTGCAGTGGCTCACACCTGTAATCCTAGCACTTTGGAGGCTGAGGTGGGTGGATCACTTGAGTTCAAGAGTTCGAGACCAGCCTGGGCAACATGGCAAAACCCTGTCTGTACAAAAAATTAAAACAAAATTAGCCAGGTGTGGTGGTGTGCACCTGTAGTCCTTGCTACTTGGGAGACTGAGGTGGGAGGATCACCTGAGCCTGGGAGTTTGAAGATGCAGTGAGCCAAGATCATACCACTGCACTCCAACCTGGGTGACAAAGCGAGATTCTGTCTCAAAAAAAAACAAAAACAAACAAACAAAAAATCTACTTAGTTATAGTCACAACTTGACTAATTGTTGGCCCAAAAGGCCTAGCTTTCAGCCTATCTCGGCTTTTGACATGCCTTCCTCACCACACTTGGTTATTTCTAGCTTTTGATTTAAAAGTGAGAGATGTGGGACTCTTCCTTTCACTTGAACACTTAGAGACCACTGTAGGATTATTAATTGGCCTAATTTCAATATTGTTGTGTCACAGGAAATAGGAAGACCCAAAGAGAGAGACATGGGAAATGGCTGGTCAGTGGAGAAGTCAGAACACACATAACATTTATCAATTAAGTCAGCTTCTTTATATGGATACAGTTTGTGGCACCCTAAACCAATTACAATAATAACATAAAATAACACTGATCATCGCTCTCCATAACAGATGTAATATGAAAATCTAAAATATTGTGAGCATTAACAAAATGTGACGTAGAGACATGAAGTAAGCACATGCTGTTGGAAAAATAATGCTGACAGATGTGCTCAATGCAAGGTTGCCACAAACCTTCAATTTGTAAACACACATTGTGTGCAAAGCAGAATAAAGTGAGTCACAATAAATGAGATATGCCTGTACATAAAAATCCAGCAAATTTGGAATAAACTAAATAACTGCAAAACTAACTTACCTTACCAGACAAATAACATCATCTACTGCTGGGGACAAGTTGGTATGCTTTGCTCTTGAGCATAACACTCATAAAAATATCCATGGATAGTCTTAGGTGGAAAGTTCCCAAGTAAAGGAGTTTCTATGCATATTTAATCTCATTCTACATCCTGTTTTTTGAGCAGAAGGGCTCTTATTTTTATCTGTGTTACCAGTACTTCCCACTGTGCCTGACATGTTGTGGGCAATAAACATTTGTTGAAAGAATGAAGAAAAATGGAAAGTACAAATGTACAAATTTATACCCTGAAGACCTTGTTTTTCTCTGTGCACTCTGAAATATCACCACTGGGAGGCAGCACATGATTTAATAACAGCTTATCTCCCCTCCGAAGAAGACACACTTAAATGATACTATATTTATAAACATGGTGGTTCCAGGCATTTCATAGTTACAAATAGAAGGAAAAGATGATATTCTGACCTTTAAAGATACTACTTTAATGTCTCTAAGGCCAGTTATGCGTTCAATATTATCTCTTCCTGCAGCTTCAAAACATCTAGGTATAATAATAACTCTGAAAACGTATGGAAATGAGTTCTCAATAATAATTAGATGCTATTGTGGCTGATGAGAATTAACTGAAATTATTGTTACCATCTCTAACTGTCATAATAAAAAGACATGCCTTGTGTTTATCTAGGTAATTCAAAGACTGGTCAGCAAGCAAATTTGCAAGATGTTTTTAAGAAAAAAATGAATTTCATTAAAGAGTAAATATGTTCTAACTTTTTCTTTTCTTTTTCTTTTTTTTTTTTTTTGATGGAGTCTTGCTCTGTTGCCCAGGCTGGAGTGCAGTGGCGTGATCTCGGCTAACTGCAACCTCCGCCTCCCAGGTTCAAGCAATTCTCCGGCCTCAGCCTCTCAAGCAGCTGGGACTACAGGCTCTAACTTCTTAAATAATTTTTTTGTCTTTTTCCTGCAAATAATCAGAATGCATACTATTGGATTAGCATGGTGCATTTCCAGTGTCAGCCAGGTACAAATAAGGAGGATTACTTTTGTTATTCTGGACCAATTTCATGCAGCTACTTCTGTATGCAGGCTGTCTGTCCTCAGCAATAGCACATGTGGTTTCAGATATTCACTGTATTTTTCATTGAATTACAAGTTGTTACTCTTCCATCTGCAATAATATTAGTTAGTTTGTTAAGTGTTCTCACCAGTGGTTTACGCCAGACTTTCTTTTATTACATTACTTTTCATCTACCTTTCTTTCTAAAACTTTATAACTCTCTGGGACACGTTTTGCCAATTGAATTTTTTTCTCCATAAATGCCAGCAAGCTGGTAAAACACATAGACAGCAAGAATATTTTTTATATTTAAAAAATAAAACCGTAGCATTCACTTTACAATGAGATCACGTGTCTAGAAGGGTTGTCATTGTAAACTAGGGAAAGTCTGATGACAGACAACTGAAACCCATCCATGTGTAATATTGTGATATATACCCCAAAAATGTATTGTGCCAGGTATATGGCACTGGTAATTAAAATTATAAATTTACTTTTTGGGTATCTCACATATTTATCTTTAAAGATTTCAAAGGATTTGAGTGAAGCTGTTTATCAATAGAAAATATGCCCAGGTTTTTCTAAACCAGTATTCTGAACTGATATTGGCAATTCCCCAATTTTAAAACATAAAACTGTTTTATTTCTAAAAATTTGCCAAGCTCATATTCTGGTTTAATGCTATTTGCCCATACCTGCAAGCATTTTAAATATTTTCTCTTTTCCTTTTTTCTTTTCTCAAGGAATAAATATCTTATTTTTTCTATTCAACATTTTCCTTCTTTTTTGTTCTCTCCCTTTTTCTAACCCATTTCATTCTAATGTGGGAACTATCAGATCTCAGATTTTTATAATACAGGTTTTAAAAAGTAAACATTTCCTATACTTTTTTATGATGTTATAGTCTTAATTGATGCACAGTCAGCCTTCCAAGGCACAGAAAGCAATAGACTAATTATTTTACCTCTGCATGATAAGAATTTCCAGGCTTCACATGTCCTCACTTATCAGTGGGAGCTAAATGATGAGAATTCATGAACACAAAGAGGGGAACGACAGATACTGGGGCCTACGTGAGGGTTGAGGGTGGAAGGAGGGAGAGGAGCAGAAAAGATAACTATTGGGTACTAGGCTTAATACCTGAGTGATTAAATAATCTGTACAACAAACTCCCGTGACACAAGTTCACCTATATAACAAACCTTCACATGTACCCCCTAACTTAAAATAATAGTTTAAAAAAAAAAAATTACCAGGTTTCCAGCAAAATATAGAAAATTTACTCCTCAAAGCCCCAGTTCCTCTCTAAAACTAATTCCAAGTTTTATGGGTTTTTACTGGTTTTTGTTTTGTTTTGTTTTTTGAGACAGAGTCTTGCTCTGTTGCCCAGGCTAGAGTGCAATGGCATGATCTCAGCTCACTGCAACCTCTACCTTCCTTTCGAGCTGTGCTTGTGCCTCAGCCTCCCAAGTAGCTGGGATCTCAGGTATGTGCCACCATGCCCAGCTAATTTTTTAAAATATATTTTAGTAGAGATGGGGTTTTGCCATGTTACCTAGGCTGGTCTTGAACTCCTGGCCTCAAGTGGTCTGCCCACTTCGGCCTCCCAAAGTGCTGGGATTACAGGCGTGAGCCACCACTGCCAGCCCCAAGTTTTATGATTTATTGATTACTTGTAGCATCCCACTTCCAGGTAGCAAACTCTGCATTAGTTAGACTTTCTATCAGATCTACTGCTGCATATAATAATAAACATTAGTTTAAACAAAATAGAAATTTATTTTTCTCTTACATAAAATAAGTCTGAAGAGAGGAAGTTCAGAGGCTTCTTTCTTATCTGTAATCTGCAAGGTCACCTCAAGACCCAAGATAGTGCTGAGCTCTGGAATATCCACATTCCAGTCACAAAGAAGGGTCAAAACAGGCTCCTATAGGCTGCATTAGTTCTTTTGAGGAACCTCTCAGAATTTCCACACAACAGTTCCACTTACATCTCATTCACTCATAAGCCACATAGGCCACAATAGCACAAAAAGAGACTGAGAATTTGTCTTTAGTCTGCACAGGAATATTCCTACAAATGTAGGATTCTGTTACCAAGGAAGAAGGAAAGAACAACTTTAGAAAGTAAATAAGAGTCCCTGACACGATGTTCATTATAATTTTCTTTATAATAGTAGAATATTGGAAATAGCCTAAAAGGCATGGATGATACATGGTTAAATGAAATCCAGAATGTGTATGTATTAAGTACTGTCTTGATATTTAAAGTATTGTTTGCTATTTATTGACATGGAAAGTTATCCATGATACATTTTAAATTTTTTTAAAGCATCTATAATATGAGCCCATATGTAAAATCAAATGTCTGAAATGATTTTTGTTAATGTTAACAGGGGTTAGAGAACAACTGAGGTTAATAATTTTTTGTAATTTTACTTTCTTCTCTATGTTTTTCTGTATGTTTTGAATTTGTAAAATGAGCATACACTGTTTATATGATTCCTATGGAAATAAAAGGGCACTGAACAAATTTATCTACAATAACTCAAAAAAAGTCAATCTGCAAAACTTTCTATTTGCACACCAATCTTCAACCAGTGGGATTTTTAAGCTGCCCTTATGACATTTACCAGTTTCATAATGATAATAATATTAAGTGCACTGATTGTCAATCTTCAGTAACTGATAGTGAAGACAGTTTATAAAAATCCTTATTTGCTTTTTTGTCTTGGAATTTTCACTCCAGCTAATTTGAGTTTTGTACCACCTCTTCTTCTCCATGAATTTTTAATATGGTGTTCAGTAGAAAAGAAATTGAGTTTTTATGAATACCTTCTGTATTATGCAAGTAAGTTTTAATTGCAGTGATTAATTATTTCATTGTCCCTATTTTCATTCTGTCTGTTATAATCATACTTGGGACTTTGTCACTAAGAGGTAAACAGGACATTTGAAATCTGTCTGCCTTTTATACATGTACATTAAGCCCTTTGCCTCATTCCCTTTATCTCTGAAATGGGTAGAATAATGAATCTTTTACTTACCTCAAAGGATATTGTGAAAGTAAAATGAGATAATTTATGGGAAATGTTTTACAAAGTTAAAAGTAGCATATATAGTAATGGAGCAGACTGACTTATCTTAGAATCAAGGGGTTTATGTAACATTGGGTTTTTTAAGCAGCAGTAATCATCTTTGGTATTGCCCACAACACCTGCAGCCAGTGTGGCCAAACAGGCTGGTTGCTACTTCAAAGGGCAGCAGTAAATTGAGGAAGGCAGGTGTTATAAGAATAAAGATTAAGTCACTCATCCAGAAATCCACCATGAAAAAAGCAGCCAGAATTTCTTCCATCATTTTCTTGGGCTGAGTGGGTAAACCCTAATTTATCATGTAAGTTGTATTGCATTAAAGGATTTTTAAAAATAGATTACCCGTGATTTTCTTAAAATATCGATTTGCAAGAAGTTCATTAATTCCAAACAGCGTAGAACTAAGTATTTTAAATTCCTTGCAAGAAAAAAGATCCCCAAAGATTAAGAGCAAATATCTATTTTTTATTTAATTAAAGCAAAAACATAGCCTGCTTAGAAAAGTGGTCACTCTGAACACACACACACACAAACACACACCCACACACACACACATGCTATTATATCCTCCCCTTTGAAATGACATCTGTCTTAAAGTTCATTTTCACAGGTGGAGAAAATTGAGGGTGCAGCATTCTGAGACTGTCATTAGTTACAGCTGAATTTCCTCTGAACTAAGTTGAATTAAGTAGTGCTGGAGAGACAGTGGGGCCTCCTCTTTGCTTGGGTCTCCTGTTTAGCACCAGGATAAGCTCATATTGCCTTGATAACGAAACCAAAACCCTTTTTCGATGTTGAAAAGGCCGATTGATGCTTATTAATGTATTATAGTTTTGGTGAATTGCGGTTTCCTCTACCACGTAGATGAGTTTCTCATTTTTCTTTTTCATACTAAAGGGATTTTGTGAACTACATATAATAGTGAACTCTTTATAATACTCCATGTGTATATAGAGTTGTCTTCCAACATTTTAAGCTTCCTCATATGTCCCCCAGCCCTGTTTGTGAGCTTTATCTACTTTGAGGAGAGGCTTTATATCAGTGGTGGAGATGCGATTGGCAATGGATTTTGAAGTATGTACTGTTACCCCATACACATACATCAACCCAGGATCGCTTTCTGGATAATTTGATGACCTGGGTAACTGCCCTGGGCTTCAGCCATCACATTGAGACCTGCTCCAAATAATTCCTCTGCATCTTAATATTTCCATCTCTAAAATGTTTTGGACTTTCAATATGCCACTAGGATATTTACATAAGACTTACTTGAAATTTTCTGAGAAAACTTCATCTTTGTAACATTTTAGCTTAAAGCAATATTGTATTTTGTTATTATTGTTATAATAATGACTAAAATTTGTTTTCTCCCTTGTTTTTAGTTCTATGAGTACTGTGTCTTATATGGAAGAACCCAGTCAGCGTGATGATATCTCTCGCCTTACAGTTCAGATGGAAAACACCTATCAGTTGGGTGTGTTCTTTTATCTCTCACTCCTATTTTAAACTTCTAAATTGGTGACTGATTCTCTTAAAAATGATATTTGATAACCTGGCATTGTCTTCAATTCTAGCACAATATAAGGGACTTTAATGAATTGAGTGATTTGATGTTGCTTTAGTTTCTTCCTCAGCAAAAAGGTAACAACACTTGCTGTCTTACTTTTCTTTACTAATGTTTCCCAAATGCCAAACAATTCACTGGGTGGCACTGATGCATACAGTATACTACTGACTTAACAAATTCACTGAGTATTTCTGGGTACATAGATATGACTTAAATGAAAGAGATAAGTATTGATATTTTATCCAACAAAACCAATCAGTGTTGTTAGGTGAAGGAAAAAAAAAAACTCAAAGCAAAGGCAAATGACTCATAGTCCCCTGTTGACAGAGACGTTTATCCATTACCACTGAGGTTTTGAGTCTTTGAAAACAAAGATCTTTGCACCTGCCGCTATACTCCCAGGTGGAGTCCGTGGCAAATATCTTTTCCCATCCATGTTTCCTCATAGACCCACTTGTTTTCTCTAAAAGCGTACCTGCCCACTATTACCTGAATTCATACATAATTACTGCTATATGGAAATTCCACAGAGATTTACCAAGGGGCAAAGAAAGACTCTATGGGCCAAGGTGATTCCATCTGTGGCCAGTTAACCCCAAGAAAATTATAGACCATCAGCCTGTCCCCTCTGGCCTTGTAGCCAGTTTTCTACAGGAGTCCCCAAGACTACATGGATTACACGGCTCCATAATTAGCCAATCTACTGGTATTTTCACAGTGCCTGTGGTGGACAGCTAATATTCCTGCCATCCAATATACTTTTATACTTCTCTGGTAACCTCACTAAATTTCCTTTGAAATTCCACCAACATCACCACTTTTGATCCTAGCATTCTAATGAAGCTGGCACTGGCTTTATAGATAGAGCAGTGACTGATTCTAGGATGGCATATAACCATGGTGAATCCAATCAAAGACTTTGAGATTAAATTCAGAAAATGTTGTTTGGCCTGTTGCAGAAGAACATAAAGCCCTGAAACTTGAAGGAATGTAGGGGCTCTGGCAGGATCTGCCACCTTGCCCTGACTTGAAACTGAGAGAAAACAACAGAATCCTGGTGTCATCATTTGAGTCCTAAATCCAATTGGCTACCCTTTAACTTTTCAGTTAGGCAAGCTAAGTTTGGGTCAGGTTTTCCCTCACTTGCAACTAAAAGTTCTTAGCCATGGGGTGTCTATGACTTTGAACTGTGCATGCTGGAAGGGTTTGAATCAGATTTGAACAAGACAGGGCCAGTGAAATGTGAATCTCTGTGTTTCTACATAAGGATATTTTTTGCAACTTGTTTTCTCAAATAAAGCATCTTATCAGTTTTAGAAGTACTGAGTATGAACCACATTAGAAAAGTAATTTTAGAAAAAGCTTAGTATAGATGAAATATACCTGTATTTTCCTACAATAGTCTATGTGAATTTTTTAATAATTAAAATATTTTATGCTTGACAATTCCCTTTTTATAGCATTCAACCAGCCATTTTATTAATACTTAATCAAAACTGTGTTTCCACTTCTACTTGTTTCTGGGTTTATTTCACATATGAAAGGTATTTTGTGAGTGTATTAGTCCGTTTTTGCATTGCTATAAAGAAATACCTGAGACTGTAATTTATAAAGAAAACAGGTTTATTTGGCTCATGGTTCTAGAGACTATACAGGAAACGTGGTGCCAACATCTGCTTCTGGTAAGACCTCAGTAAGCTTTTAGGCATGGCAGAAGGGAAGGAGAGTTGGCATGTCACATGGCAAGAGAGGGAACAAGAGAGGTGCCAGGCTGTTTTAAACACCCAGCTCTCATGTGAACTAATAGAGGAAGAACTATAGAGCAAGAACTCAGTAATTACCGCTGGGACAGCACCAAGCCATTCATGAGGGATCCACCTTCCTGGCCCCAACACCTCCCACCAGGCCCCACCTCCAACACTGGGGATCACATTTCAATATGAGATTTGAAGGGGACAAATATCCAAACTATATCAGTGGGACTTTGGTAAATAGTTTATCATATCTTTACAATGTAATACTGGCCAGAAAAGTAGAGGGAAATATCAGCCAATCACCAGCACTATTATGTTTAATTAATTTTTCATTCCATTCAATAATGTTTGCCTCATCTAAACACATCTTAAATGAGAGCATTTACATAAATAATTACAGCTACAAAAAATGAGATGAAACATGAGTATCATTCATGAGAGGAGAAAAGGGAATAGAAAAGGAAAGTGTGTTTCTTTTAATAAAATACCATTTATATATTTCTCATTAATTACTAAAACAAATATAAAAGAAAATGCAGGCTGTGGCATCTGTCGTATCTGAATTTGAATACTAATTTTGCTAATTCCTTGAGCAAGGTATTTAGCATCATTGAATCTCAGTGTCTTCACTTGTAAATAGGGATAATAGTCTATACATCACATGGATGCTATGAGACTCAAATGATGTTATATGTTTAAATCTCTCCATTCATCATGTTACTACTCCTGAAAGTGACTGACTCAAGGACCTTACTATAGATCACTAAGAATAAAAGCCTTCCATGATATTCATTGTAACTTCATATTAATTATGGAATAAGTTTTCCACAGGACTTTTTCTGGAACTGAGTATAGTGGCACCTGGTTGTTTGCAAACATGGACTGCGAGCACCGAGCCAAACTAGATTGGCGGCCATCTTTGCTACCACATCAAGACAGCCTGCCTTGAGAATGAAGCCAGCACAGTAGAAAGTAGATCCAAAATATTGAGAGAGAAAGAGAGAGATTATTTGAGTTCAGCTTCCATGAAGTGCTCAGGCCCTGTCTCTATGTCAGGTTTTCTTAGAGCCTGTCAATCTCTCAGCATTGATTTTACACCACCACATGGGGTCCTTCCTAATCCCACAGGCCTCACTGTCTCCAGACTTACGTCCTCTTTCATCTTGCTGCCTTCTCAGCAAGGTAAATCCCCAATTCTTCCTTCAGCATGCAATAACTACAATAACAGCAATAACACTAATAAGATCACATATCTAAGGAGTGTTTTATTGTGTGACAAGCACTGTTCTAAACATATTCAATTTATTGTCTCATTTAATTCTAACAAAAAAAAATGTAGTAATTATTATTATTACCCCAATGTGGGGTAGTGGAGGCCCACATACATTAAGTAAACTTATCTTTATCTACTTTTTAAGGACAAGTTTTGTTTGTTTTTAAAATTTTTTTTGTCTTGATCCTTCAGGTCTTTGCCTTTTGATTTCTAAAACACGTTTTTTCTCCTAAGGAAAAAAAAAATCTCGAGAAAGAAGAAAAGCTTTGCCATTCACATCAGTTTACTCTGAAACTAGTTTTAGGAGCTTATTTCAGAAGTCAGAAACTGAACATTGATGGATGATTCTGGATGTTTAGGGGAAAGGTAACAAAGAAGTAAGAAAAGAATACTTCATTACCATATTTCAAAGTATTTTCAAAACAGGATCTGGTTAATGACTTTTTTTTTAATCTAAGCGAAGTATGGAAAGGACATTGGTAGCACTGTACAACGGGAACTACTGGAAACAGACTCAAGTGCCACCAGGACCCTCTTTCCAGCACTAACCTATGTGCACTTTCTTCTCTTTTGGTGGCCTGGCCTCCTTACCACCATGAAAAACATGTCCTCCAGCAGGTCCTCAGAGTCACATGGTAACTTTTGCCACCAGAAAGAGGCTGACTCTTTTTTCCTACTTGCAGTTTAAAATAAAAATTCCAAAAAAAGACTCTCATTGTCCTGGCCTAGAGCATTGTCACCCTGGGTTAATCAACCATGCCCTAGGCTTGGGTTCGCAGGAGATGATGGGGAGATCTTTAAGAACCACTTTCTAGATTCAATCTCCACCCCCACCCTTCCACGATTTAAGTGGAATTCAACAATTTCTATATTATCATCAAAATAAAAATAACGATTTATAGAACCTCAAGAGGCTCACCTAACTGAACTGCAGTCAGAGGCTGTAACCTTCTGGTTAAGTTCAGCCAGTGGGAAACCTCAGCTGAGAGGCAGAGGGAGTGAGAAGTGTGAGGTGGAGCTGTTTATTTCCCTGGCTCCTGCCTGTGAGTTCATCACAGCCTGGTTACATTCTTCAACCAAAGGACAGAAACTGCTCCCAAGGGAGCCCTCTCCACATGACCCTTCTGGGATCTATTAAAAGCTCTTCCTCTATTCCCCAATCTTGGGGTGGGAGGGGTGGGCTGACAACCTTACTTTCACTGGCTGAGGGGTGCTGCACTATCCCTTGTGATTTTCTACAGCCCACTCAGAACTTCCTCCTGGAATTATTTTAACTATAGGGTGCCATATGTTTCATTTGACCCTGACAGATACAGTCATCACAAACAAACACTTATTACTAGATATTGACATATATTAAAAGAGAATTGAATAGAATTCTTGATCTCATTCCTTCATCTTTATCAATTCAACAAATAATGACTGGGCTTCTGTATGCCAGGCCCTGGGCACATGTTCATGTCATGCAATGACATTAGTATATGACCAAAGTGATGATATGGCTAATATTCCTGGGATGCAGGAGGAAGAAGATTCATTTGAAGCTTCTCCTCTGAACGTGGATGAAATGTGGTCGAGAATATAAGCTCTAGCATCAGATAAACCTGGGTGTGCACCCCAGCTCTGCCTCTCTGTGTGATTCTGGGCAGGTTACTCAATGTATATAAATCTCTGTTTCCCCACCTGCCAAATGGAGATAACAGTGAGATTCACCTCAGAGATCTATTGGAAGACTATATAAGGTAATATGAAGTGCTTATCGCACTGCCTGACATGTAGCAACGGCTTAATAAAAAGTATTCATTATTATATATGTATACAATATACAGTCATATATCATATATAATGATTATCTATAAAATTTAATTCTATTTAAATTCAGAAATCATACATTAAAAATTTCTTATGCCTTTAGCATTGTATTAGACTCTGAGGAGGATAAAATCCGAGCTTGCTTACCATTTCACTGGAAACGCAGGTATGCTTTAGCCAATATCAAGTGGATTAGGAGCCAGGATGGCAGTGGGGACCCAGTGCATGGAAAGGAGGGACATTTTTACCTGAGAGGAGGTAGAGTGCTACCTGGAGAAGAAGACATTTGAGATGGTCTTGAAACATGAGTGGCTGTTTCTCAGATGAACAAGATGGGGAAAGATATTCCATTTGAAAACTAAAGAGCAAGAGTAAGGACACAGGAGCACCTTTATAGACAGATGGAGCCTGTGAGGCTGGAGCAGTCCACAAGAGGGGCACTGTGGTAGCGGGAGAAGGGGCAGTAGGGAATCACACTTTAGACCTCGCTAAGGGGAATGTCATTTAAGATCTGGTAGATAGATTGGAGCGGGAGATATAAGAGGTAGAGAGCCAGTTATAAAGTTGTTGAGACTTTGAAGTATGTCCACAACAATGGGGCCTGGGAAGGAAGAGACTTTCAAGGTCAAACCCCAGCAGTATTGAACACACTTTTGAGATAGTCACGTAAATGTACGAAAATATTGTCTTCTTGTTCTCTCTCAGAGCACTTGACAGGAAACCTAATTAGAGCCACTTGTTTCTTTCAATAGAGTCCACCCAGAAGATTAAATCCCTCCATGTTTCCATACTCTTTTGATTAGCCTATGGGGTGGGTGGGTGTGATTTGAAATTACTTTTTAGAAATAAATTTTATGTGTATTTTCAGGTCCTCCCAAACATTTTCCTGTGGTCACCGTCAATCATATTTTGAAAGATGTAGTAACCAGCTATCTACAAGTAGAAGAATATGAACCAGAGCTCTGTAGACAGATGACTAAAACCATTTCTGAGGTACGTGTGTGATTTGCCCAAAGTGTTAACAATAGCTAGAATATTTGCTAAAGTACAACGGACCCTCTACTTTTTTGATGAGGGGAATTAATTTGCAGTAACAGTTAAAATGCGTATTTATAATTAGGTCATATTCTACATATATGTGTGTGTGTGGGTGTGTGTGTGTGTGTGTATATACATAAAGCCTTTGTCTAAAACAATCATGAGCATCATTTGCATGCATTATGTAAAAGTGTATAAAACTGCCCCATTTATAAAAGTGTTTATTGTAAAAGATACAACATTTTAATGATTATTTTCTCTTCACTAAGGCAGCTTCTTTGAGTGCCATCAAATACAGACATTGTGGTCTTCAAGCACATTTCTATTTTTACAAACCCCAGGGCTGCACTTCATCAAGGTTTCCTCTACTTTCTTTTTGATAACAAACTCTTTAATAAACATTAATGATTAGTTATATTACAGGAGACTCCAGATGTATGGTTTCTTAATTAGACATGAACAAGACAGTGTAACTCCAATGCCAACATTCTTTGACATGAAGCCATCTTAACATAAATTTTCAAAGAATGTAATTTATTAAATTCTGTGTTCTGGATTATAATTATTTCATGTATCTTAGAAAAGGTTGATTTATTGCTGGTGTTAAAATTTTGTTCCTGAATGTTCTATCTCAAGGGGACCATGCTTGAAGGGAATCATACTTACGGTTCTAAAACAATCACTGAAAGTATCTACAATGCATCATGCTATTAAATTAAATCCCTTATATTTATAACAAAGGTTAATGCTTTTGAGTTTCAATGTAGCTGAATGAAGACCCTCCCTTTTTTTAAATTTCTAGGTTATTAAAGCCCAGGTCAAGGACTTGATGATTCCACGGTATAAACTAATTGTGATTGTTCACATTGGACAACTGAACAGGCAGAGCATACTTATTGGAAGCAGATGCCTCTGGGATCCTAAAAGTGATACCTTTTCATCTTATGTTTTCAGAAATTCTTCTCTCTTCGCTCTTGCAAATGTCTATGCAGTTTACCTTGAGTGATTGAAAATAAGAAATCTAGCTCTTACTTTTGAAAATTCTGAGGCAGGCTGTATGTCTGTACACAAAAGTTTTACTGCCAAAAACTTTGAGAAAGAAACAACACTGATATTTCAAGCAACTGGAAGCTTTTGAATTTTTTCATATTCTAGTAAAGATTTGGGGAGGGGAGGGTAGCCACAGAAAGAATCTTGTTTATCTAAAGCAGGAACTTGATCTTGGTTTTGCTGGATTGCTTTCCATAGACATAGATTCTTATTAAATATTTGTTTTGGTACTAATTATTTTAATTATTCTTTAATTAGAGTGTTACAATTTCCTGCATTGTTTTTTAATAAAAAGAAGCTTTAGAAAAACTATGGCTATATACCCTGACCAATAAATGATAGTAGAATATTCAACATGGTATACACAAATGATAAATAATGTGCCTCAGTGCTGCATATAAAAGAATACTGGTTTTCATTTTGTACTTAATAAATTGAGCAGCATTCATTAAGTGCAATTATTGTTACATGTACCTGACAGTTGAAACTGCTGAGGTAGAATTAATGGCTTCATAACAATTATCGTGGTCCCACGGGCTGCAAGCTAAAACTAGAAGCTCTTGTGGCTTGCCTGCACTTTACACAATTGTGGGAGAACCGAAAGTTGGCTCTTCAGTAATGGAAACTATAAAGTGAATAAAGGCTTTTTGGGACACTGAAGTAGACATTGTGATATTAAATATACATGATGCTTAATACTAAATGTGTCTGTAACACATAAAATCATTTATTGGAAAGAGACATTGCTTTTAAATATCCTAGGCTAACAAACTTTTTCACAAAATATATGGCTGGCACCTTAACAAATAAAGCATGTGTAGTTACCATTTTACTCCTATGAATTTAATACTAAAGTGACCCAGTGAGGTTTTTGAATAGACGGGTGCTAAAATTTACAGGGCTGAAATAGCTTATTATTCTGCTGGTTAATGTATCTTACGCCACGGATCATTTATTTTTATGAAGCTTTCAAGTCTTTGTGTGCAAGTAAAATGATGTTGTGGCGTTGTTCTTGGATGGTAAGTGGACTGCCTAGAGGACATTTGTTAAAGGTCAAAGACAAATTGTACACATATGGAGAAAATTAGCAATGCTGTAGTCTTAAGGAAAAAATGATTTATCATTCATATCAAAAAGAGTTTAGCAAATGGAAAACCAGTTAATGCTTTAATTTTAAAATGTTTTGGTGTCTTACTTTTCCCTAAAAATGACATGTAGTAAAAAATGGATACTTTTAAAATCCCTTCCCTTCTGCTATTTTCTGGCTTTTAAAGTGATTATTCAAAATGAATTTGTCAATTTTCACTTTTTTTTTTCTGTTAGTGCATTAGTGGGAATATGTCTATGTAATAATTTATCACAACCAATATTTGTCAATCTCCATAGAACAGTTTTCAATCTGGATTAGATTACACGTATAACAAGTAAATGAGCTTCATATTTTCATTACACATTGGTGAACATCTCCCTTCGTGGAACAACAGCGGGGGTAATCATATCACTAATTTTGTATGAATAAATGAAAATGAAGAAACTTCTTTAACATATACAAAGTCTATTGTAACAATGACTGTTTGTTTTAGAGTTCTAAATTCTAATCCATGAGATAATTTCTTACTGTCTTCCCCAGGCTGTGTTGAGAATCGAAACTGCAAAACATGACGGCAGTTAAAAAACAAAAAAGAAAGCAGTTTGCCAGCATATTGCTACACACTGTAATTCAGATACTCAGTGATGAATTCTAGCAATTATATAGCAGTATAAGAATACATAGTAAAAACTCACTCCTTGCAACTAACTTGGGAGAAGCTAGTTATCACACAGAACTTTATCATGAGAAATTTTTAATGAAATTATCACACAGAACCTTATCATGAGAAATTTTTAAAACAATGACACTATAAATTTGAAGGAATTGTTTTACTTTGAAATGCCCTGAACTTCCCTGGTATTTTTTTCCTCTCCTAAAGTGCCATCCTTCTTCCCAGACCAGCCATGCCCATCCCTGCTCCAGAGCCTTCACTCATGCTTTCCTACCTTGGAACACCCCCTCCCACTTAAGCCACTTTCTTCGCTTTTCAGGGTCACATTCAGGTCTTACCTTTTCTCTCAGTCCTTCTCTATTCACTGCTTGCCTCCTGCTCTCTCTCTCCTCTGATTATTCTCGTGGTTGAGCTCTTGATTGTTCTCTAGCTAACTTTTGAATTCTAGTTTTGTTTCCCTTACTATTAATAGACTGAAGACATATTGAGGACATGGACCACATAACTTGACAGTGCCTAGAAATAAAAATCATTTTTACTTTTAAAGTTATCATTATGTGCATTGCACTGTGCTACATAACTCCCAGCTGCATAGATAATAGCAAACACAGTTCAACCCCTGAGGAACTAGGATCCTATAGGGGTGAAAAGAGAAGTACACAAGTGACCACAGTATAGGCTCAAATATGTTGTCATAAGAAAAATCCAGAATACATTTATCCAATTAACAGAATCAAGGAAGCCTTCATGAAAGGAAAGAAAATTTAAGCTAGACTGTGATGGAGAGATTAGAATTTCAACAGGCAGAAGATTACAGGAAGCCTAGGCTGGATAAAACACAGTGTTCACGAAGATAAGTGGTTAGAACTAAGATTAGAAGGAAGATGGCCAAATAGGAACAGCTCCGGTCTACAGCTCCCAGCGTGAGCAACGCAGAAGATGGGTGATTTCTGCATTTCCATCTGAGGTACCGGGTTCATCTCACTAGGGAGTGCCAGACAGTGTGTGCAGGACAGTGGGTGAAGCACACTGGGTGCGAGCCAAAGCAGGGCGAGGCATTGCCTCACTCGGGAAGCGCAAGGGGTCAGGGAGTTCCCTTTCCTAGTCAAAGAAAGGGGTGACAGATGGTACCTGGAAAATCAGGTCACTCCCACCCTAATACTGCGCTTTTCCAATGGGCTTAAAAAAATGGCACACCAGGAGATTATATCCCACACCTGGCTCAGAGGGTCCTAAACCCACGGAGTCTCGCTGATTGCTAACACAGCAGTCTGAGATCAAACTGCAAGGCAGCAGTGAGGCTGGGGGAGGGGCGCCTGCCATTGCCCAGGCTTGATTAGGTAAATAAAGCAGCCGGGAAGCTCGAACTTGGTGGAGTCCACCACAACTCAAGGAGGCCTGCCTGCCTCTGTAGGCTCCACCTCTGGGGGCAGGGCACAGACAAACAAAAAGATAGCAGTAACCTCTGCAGACTTAAATGTCCCTGTCTGACAGCTATGAAGAGAGTAGTGGTTCTCCCAGCATGCAGCTGGAGATCTGAGAGCGGGCAGACTGCCTCCTCAAGTGGGTCCCTGACCCCCGAGCAGCCTAACTGGGAGGCACCCCCCAGTAGGGGCAGACTGACACCTCACATGGTCGGGTACTTCTCTGAAATAAAACTTCCAGAGGAACGATCAGGCAGCAGCATTTGCAGATCACCAATATCCACTGTTCTACAGCCACTGCTGTTCTACAGCCACCGCTGTTCTACAGCCACCGCTGTTCTGCAGCCACCGCTGCTGATACCCAGGCAAACAGGGTCTGGAGTGGACCTCTAGCAAACTCCAACAGACCTGCAGCTGAGGGTCCTGTCTGTTAGAAGGAAAACTAACAAACAGAAAGGACATCCACACCAAAAATCCATCTGTACATCGCCATCATCAAAGACCAAAAGTAGATAAAACCACAAAGATGGGGAAAAAACAGAGCAGAAAAACTGGAAACTCTAAAAAGCGAGCGCCTCTCCTCCTCCAAAGGACCGCAGCTCCTCACCAGCAATGGAACAAACCTGGATGGAGAATGACTTTGACAAGCTGAGAGAAGACTTCAGATGATCAAACTACTCTGAGCTACAGGAGGAAATTCAAACCAATGGCAAAGAAGTTAAAAACTTTGGAAAAAAAGTTAGATGAATGGATACCTAGAATAACCAATGCAGAGAAGTCCTTAAAGGAGCTGGTGGAGCTGAAAGGCAAGGCTCGAGAACTACGTGAAGAATGCAGAAGCCTCAGGAGCCGATGTGATCAACTGGAAGAAAGGGTATCAGTGATGGAAGACGAAATGAATGAAATGAAGCGAGAAGGAAGTTTAGAGAAAAAAGAATAAAAAGAAATGAACAAAGCCTCCAAGAAATATGGGACTATGTGAAAAGACCAAATTTACATCTGATTGGTGTACCTGAAAGTGACAGGGAGAATGGAACCAAGCTGGAAAAAACTCTGCAGGATATTATCCAGGAGAGCTTCCCCAATCTAGCAAGGCAGGCCAACATTCAGATTCAGGAAATACAGAGAATGCCACAAAGATACTCCTCGAGAAGAGCAACTCCAAGACACATAATTGTCAGATTCACCAAAGTTGAAATGAAGGAACAAATGTTAAGGGCAGCCAGAGAGAAAGGTCAGGTTACCCACAAAGGGAAGCCCATCAGACTAACAGCAGATCTCTCGGCAGAAACTCTACAAGCCAGAAGAGAGTGGGGGCCAATATTCAACATTCTTAAAGAAAAGAATTTTCAACCCAGAATTTCATATCCAGCCAAATTAAGCTTCATAAGTGAAGGAGAAATAAAATCCTTTACAGACAAGCAAATGCTGAGAGATTTTGTCACCACCAGGCCTGCCCTAAAAGAGCTCCTGAAGGAAGCACTAAACATGGAAAGGAACAACCAGTACCAGCCACTGCAAAAACATGCCAAAATGTAAAGATCATCAAGGCTAGGAAGAAACTGCATCAACTACCAAGCAAAATAACCAGCTAACATCATAATGACAGGACCAAATTCACACATAACAATATTAACTTTAAATGTAAATGGGCTAAATGCTCCATTTAAAAGACACAGACTGGCAAATTGGATAAACAGTCAAGACCCATCAGTGTGCTGTATTCAGGAAACCCATCTCACATGCAGAGACACACATAGGCTCAAAATAAAGGGATGGAGGAAGATCTACCAAGCAAATGGAAAACAAAAAAAGACAGGGGTTGCAATCCTAGTCTCTGGTAAAACAGACTTTAAACCAACAAAGATCAAAAGAGACAAGGAAGGCCATCACATAGTGGTAAAGGGATCAATTCAACAAGAAGAGCTAACTATATATATGCACCCAATACAGGAGCACCCAGATTTATAAAGCAAGTCCTTAGTGACCTACAAAGAGACTTAGACTCCCACACAATAATAATGGGAGAATTTAACACCCCACTGTCAACATTAGACAGATCAACGAGACAGAAAGTTAACAAGGATACCCAGGAATTGAACTCAGCTCTGCACCAAGCGGACCTAATAGACATCTACAGAACTCTCCACCCTAAATCAACAGAATATATATTCTTTTCAGCACCACACCACACCTATTCCAAAATTGACCACATAGTTGGAAGTAAAGCACTCCTCAGCAGATGTAAAAGAACAGAAATTATAACAAACTGTCTCTCAGACCACAGTGCAATCAAACTAGAACTCAGGATTAAGAAACTCACTCAAAACCGCTTAACTACATGGAAACTGAACAACCTGCTCCTGAATGACTACTGGGTACATAACGAAATGAAGGCAGAAATAAAGATGTTCTTTGAAACCAACGAGAACAAAGACACAACATACCCGAATCTCTGGGACACATTCAAAGCAGTGTGTAGAGGGAAATTTATAGCACAAAATGCCCACAAGAGAAAGCAGGAAAGATCCAAAATTGACACCCTAACATCACAATTAAAAGAACTAGAAAAGCAAGAGCAAACACATTCAAAAGCTAGCAGAAGGCAAGAAATAACTAAAATCAAAGCAGAACTGAAGGAAATAGAGACACAAAAAACCCTTCAAAAAAATTAATGAATCCAGGAGCCGGTTTTTTGAAAAGATCAACAAAACTGATAGACCGCTGGCAAGACTAATAAAGAAGAAAAGAGAGAAGAATCAAATAGATGCAATAAAAAATGATAAAGGGGATATCACCACTGATCCCACAGAAATACAAACTACCATCAGAGAATACTACAAACACCTCTACGCAAATAAACTAGAAAATCTAGAAGAAATGGATAAATTCCTCGACACATACACCCTCCCAAGACTAAACCAGGAAGAAGTTGAATCTCTGAATAGACCAATAACAGGATCTGAAATTGTGGCAATAATCAATAGCTTACCAACCAAAAAAAGTCCAGGACCAGATGGATTCACAGCTGAATTCTACCAGAGGTACAAGGAGGAGCTGGTACCACTCCTTCTGAAACTATTCCAATCAATAGAAAAAGAGGAAATCCTCCCTAACTCATTTTATGAGGCCAGCATCATCCTGATACCAAAGCCTGGCAGAGACACAAACAAAAAAGAGAATTTTAGACCAATATCCTTGATGAACATTGATGCAAAAATCCTCAATAAAATACTGGCAAAATGAATCCAGCAGCACATCAAAAAGCTTATCCACCATGATCAAGTGGGCTTCATCCCTGGGATGCAAGGCTGGTTCAACATATGCAAATCAATAAATGTAATCCAGCATATAAACAGAGCCAAAGACAAAAACCACATGATTATCTCAATAGATGCAGAAAAGGCCTTTGACAAAATTCAACCACCCTTCATGCTAAAAACTCTCAATAAATTATCTATTGATGGGACGTATCTCAAAATAATAAGAGCTATCTATGACAAACCCACAGCCAATATCATACTGAATGGGCAAAAACTGGAAGCATTCCCTTTGAAAACTGGCACAAGACAGGGGTGCCCTCTCTCACCACTCCTATTCAACATAGTGTTGGAAGTTCTGACCAGGGCAATTAGGCAGGAGAAGGAAATGAAGGCATTCAATTAGGAAAAGAGGAAGTCAAATTGTCCCTGTTTGCAGATGACATGATTGTATATCTAGAAAACCCCATTGTCTCAGCCCAAAATCTCCTTAAGCTGATAAGCAACTTCAGCAGTCTCAGGATACAAAATCAATGTACAAAAATCACAAGCATTCTTATACACAAATAACAGACAAACGGAGAGTCAAATCATGAGTGAACTACCATTCACAATTGCTTCAAAGAGAATAAAATACCTAGGAATCCAACTTACAAGGGATGTGAAGGACCTCTTCAAGGAGAACTACAAACCACTGCACAATGAAATAAAAGAGGATACAAACAAATGGAAGAACATTCCATGCTCATGGGTAGGAAGAATCAATATTGTGAAAATGCCCATACAGCCCAAGGTAATTTATAGATTCAATGCCATCCCCATCAAGCTACCAATGACTTTCCTCACAGAATTGGAAAAAACTACTTTAAAGTTCATATGGAACCAAAAAAGAGCCCGCATCGCCAAGTCAATCCTAAGCCAAAAGAACAAAGCCAGAGGCATCACGCTACCTGACTTCAAACTATACTACAAGGCTACGGTAACCAAAACAGCATGGTACTGGTACCAAAACAGAGATATAGATCAATGGAACAGAACAGAGCCCTCAGAAACAATGACACATATCTACAACCATCTGATCTTTGACAAACCTGACAAAAACAAGCAATTGGGAAAGGATTCCCTATTTAATAAATGGTGCTGGGAAAACTGGCTAGCCATATAGAGAAAGCTGATACTGGATCCTTTCCTTACACCTTATACAAAAATTAATTCAAGATGTATTAAAGACTTAAATGTTAGACCTAAAACCATAAAAACCCTAGAAGAAAACCTAGGCAATACCATTCGGGACATAGGCATGGGCAAGGACTTCATGTCTAGAACACCAAAAGCAATGGCAACAAAAGCCAAAATTGACAAATGGGATCTAATTGACCTAAAGAGCTTCTGCACAGCAAAAGAAACTACCATCAGAGTGAACAGGCAACCTACAAAATGGGAGAAAATTTTCGCAACCTACTCATCTGACAAAGGGCTAATATCCAGAATCTACAATGAACTCAAACAAATTTACAAGAAAAAAAACAAACAACCCCATCGAAAAGTGGGCGAAGGATATGAACAGACACTTCTCAAAAGAAGACATTTATGCAGCCAAAAGACACACGAAAAAATGCTCATCATCACTGGCCATCAGAGAAATGCAAATCAAAACCACAATGAGATACCATCTCACACCAGTTAGAATGGCAATCATTAAAAAGTCAGGAAACAACAGGTGCTGGAGAGGATGTGGAGAAATAGGAACACTTTTACACTGTTGGTGGGACTGTAAACTAGTTCAACCATTGTGGAAGTCAGTGTGGCGATTCCTCAGGGATCTAGAACTAGAAATACCATTTGACCCAGCCATCCCATTACTGGGTATATACCCAAAGGATTATAAATCATGCTGCTATGAAGACACATGCACACATATGTTTATTGTGGCACTATTCACAATAGCAAAGACTTGGAACCAACCCAAATGTCCAACGATGATAGACTGGATTAAGAAAATGTGGCACATATACACCATGGAATACTATGCAGCCATAAAAAAGGATGAGTTCATGTCCTTTGTAGGGACATGGATGAAACTGGAAACCATCATTCTCAGCAAACTATCGCCAAGGACAAAAAACCAAACACTGCATGTTCTCACTCATAGGTGGGAATTGAACAATGAGAACACATGGACACAGGAAGGGGAACATCACACTCTGGGGAGAGTTGTGGGGTGGGGGGAAGGGGGAGGGATAGCATTAGGAGATATACGTAATGCTAAATGATGAGTTAATGAGTGCAGCACACCAGCATGGCACAGGTATACCTGTGTAACAAACCTGCACATTGTGCACATGTACCCTAAAACTTAAAGTATAATAATAATAATAAAATTTAAAAAAAAAGAACTAAGATTAGAAGAATACTTTGTGAGTGTCTGGGTAAGAAAATGAGTAATCATTAAAGGTTTTTCATTAGGCTAACAGTATAAATGAACGGACGCTCTAAGAAAATGAATATGTTGGAAAAGAACAGAAAGACTCTTTGGGGAGGTGAGAGGTAATAGAGGCTGGAAGAGGCAGTGGCATTGGAAATGGAAAGGAGAGGACAGTTCTATGAGACACTATGGGGGCAAGGTCTACATGAGTAGGCAAGGGGAAAGAGGAGTCAGAAGTGACCCCAACACAATATGAAGACAGTTGAAAGTTTCGAGCTCTGGACATTTGCAGACATTTGTAGGTCTGAGTCCTGCTGTCCCAGGCACAAGTTAAGTGACCTCAAATAAATTACTAATCTCACTAAGCCACAGCTTCTTCATTGTAAAGGAATGATAATACTGCTACCTACCTCATAGGATTTTGGTGAGAATTAAATACACATGTTTGCTAAACTCTTAACATCATAATTCCTAATAGAAAGCTCTCAATACAGTAGCTCTTAAGATTGCAGTTGAAAGTTTCAGTATGGGTCACTAGTTCAATGGACCTATTAACAAACATAAGGAAGTCAGCAGAGTTTGAGGAATAAAATATGAAATTTGATTTTGCACTTGTTGAATTTAAGTTAATGATGGGATATTAAGATGGGGTTAGCCTCCGGCAGCTGAGAACATGGGGCTGGAGCTGAGCTACGACATCAAGGTGAGAGATTTAGACTTGGCAGTCATCCACATTGAGACCGAACATCCTCCTGCTTTATAAAATATTCATTAGCAGAATCTTCAGCAAGTGTAGTGAGTACTAATAGCAAATTACTAAAAATTCAGTTAACTCTGGGAACATAACCAGAAACCACCCCTCAAAAACTAATAGGAAATTTTTTTTCCAAAACTAAAATTAAATGATGCCTTCTTTTCTTCATTAAAAAAATTCCCAGATGATCCATTTATGTTGTCAGACATCATAAAAAATGTAAGGGTTCTCTCAAAAATACATTAGCATCTTGAATGGAGGTGTCAGTGCTGTCATCTGCTGTCATTGTTAATAAAATGGCTTTAAAGAAAATACATAATAGGAGGTTCTTCCAACAGAGTCCAACAGATTATATTTTGGGAAATTAAGTGCTAGTTCAACTCCTTTATTTAAAAAAAACTCTTAAGAATTATCCAGTATATGGGAATGATTTTAAAAACAACAACGGTTGAGAAATTAGAGCTCGTAAATGTAGCCATCCTAGAGAATGAACACACTCTTTGTTGGGACCATCATTTGACCTGTGTTTCTAGATATTACTCAAAAATATATTAAGAAAACTCAATATTAAATAGTTATTCATAATTTACTATGCATTTTGCTCCCAAAATTCTTCTAAAGGAGTGGCCTGCGCCCGTTACCTCTGATTTTCTCTGCCACTTCTTTCTATGCTACTTTCACCTTCTGCAATCTAGTTCTCATCCCCACTAATGTGTTACTTTCACAAGCAGTCAAAGTGGTCCCCCAGGACAATCTGCAAAACATTTCTCCAGTTGCATCCACCTCAGCTATCTTCTGAATTCATTTCTTTTGAATCACGTTGTAATATAGATGGTTAGGTTTTGGTCGCTTTCTTTTCTTTTTTTTTTTTTTAGCATAAGTTTGACAAAAATCTCCTTTAGCTGCCACCCTTACTAGCTGTGTGTGACTTTGGTTTGCGGCGGCTAGTGTCTTGAGCCTTAGTTTCCCCAAAGGTAAAGATGATTATGATTACTACTTATGTTCTTGTCATGACGACTAAAAGGAAAAGTATGCATAGAATATCTGGCCCACTGTAGATGCTTACTCTCAACCTCTAATTTTTTCCTGCAGAAACTCTTTTCTAAAAAATTGAACAGATATTTTTGCAATTTCTGCTCACTACCCTAATGTAATACCCTAGATTACATTTTTTCTTTTATCACCTTTAATCATCTGCTGCTGCCTTCTTTGAATGACAATTTCTTCTCAAGTCCACATTTATTATACAGTCCTGTACATCTCCAAATTTAGCTTCTCGTGGCTGATGTCTACCTGTTTTTAAATGTTTCATTCGGATGTCTTAACTCTCACTTCAGTAATTTCTTGATTCCTTTGAACATTTCTGTTTACTGCCGCCTATTTTATCCTGTTAATTCTCATTTGAATTTATATATTCCTCTAGTATGTTCACACAGAATAAACATACTAAAGGTTTATTTAGACATATATATTATCTGTTTAAAGTCTCCTGTAATCTCTTCTTAATTTCTTTCCTTGCCAATTTGAGTACACTTTTGTTTTTTAATTTTAGTGCAGGATATAACTTGAGACTTGTGGTTTTCCACCCACCCACCAGGGTATTTCCCCACCTAGCAAGGCAAGGAACCAGTATAACCAGTACGGGAAGCACTAAGCTTCACTTTACATTTGTGATCAGAAAAGTTGCCCACGGATGATGATGAGGGTGAATCATCTAACTATTAAAAGGACAGAATATCCAGCCCGATTTGTTTAGGGGTTTCTGGGAAATAGTTTTTTAAATTCCTATGAAAAATATCAAGTTTAAAGACTCATAATTTCATGTTGAAACTAAAGGAAAATAAACTGTATGTTGTTGGTTAATTATATAATTATATTTATTTTTTTCCTTTAAGGAAATGTGTTATATAACAAGAACTTTGGTAGGACAGGTGTAATAATTTTTTTAAAATATATAGTTAAATTGCTTGCTTGCATCCCAATTCACAAGCACAAGTAAAAGCCATTTAAGGGCCCAATCATTTAAAGAAGAAATAGTATCAATCTTAAACACTCGGAGATTAAAGAAAGAAGGACCACTTTCCAACTCATTTTATGGAGCTAGCTTAACCCTGATAGCAAAATCACTGAAGTATATTACAGAAAAAACATAAATGTTACTTAAAAATTTATTAACATGGTATTATAAAAAACATCAATGTTGTTTATGAAAATATATGCTAAGCAAAATGCTAACAAATAAAGTGCAGTGGTATATAAAAAAGAGAATACATTATTAATTATTGGAAATATTTTTACAATTCATTTGTGTACAAATAAGTAAAACTTCACTTAAAAGTCATGCACTTTATTGTATGTGTATTATACTCCAGTGAATTTTTTTAAGTCACGAGGCTAAAGATTCTATTACAGCTTTTTTCTTCCAGATTTTTAAAGAACAAATAATGCCTTCATTCTGTAAGGCTAGAATAATCTTTATTGACAAAACATATAGATCAGTTTTATTTATGAACACAGATACAAAAATTCTAAATAAAATATTAAATGCAATGCTTCTGAGTATTAGAGAATGCTATACTGTGATCAAATGGATTTATTCTGAGAATATAGAGACATTTCAACATAAGAAAGATTCTCAACAGAACTCTTCACATTTACTAAAGAGAAAAATACCATATGATAAAATTAAATGTGTATTTTATGAAATTTAGAAGAATTTCCAACAAAATGAGTCCTTCAGCAATATGTAATAGGATAATGCTTTTAAGATAATTACAAATATTATATATACATGTATAATATAGATTAATTCATTATTTATTGTTTTATTTATTCATATTTCAACCAACAAATGTCATACTGAGTAGTGAATGCTAAAGCCATTTCCATTACAATTACGAACATGGGAGAGATGTTTACTGTCGTTATTATCATTTAGATCAGGGGTGTCCAATCTTTCAGCTTCCCTGGGCCACACTGGAAGAAGAGGAATTGTCTTGGGCCACACATAAAATACACTAACACTAACGATAGCTGACGAGCTAAAACACACACACAGACACACACACACACACACACACACACACAAAACAACAACCAAAAAAAACTCATAATGTTTTAAGAAAGTTTACTAATTTGTGTTGGACAGTATTCAAAACCATCCTGGACCTCATACAGCCCACAGGCCACAGATTGGACAAGCTTGATTTACATTTTTTTAATGATCACTTCCCTGTGAGGCCTTCCCTGGCCACCCTGCTTAAAACTCAATTCCCTTTATCCCCCCACCCAAGCTTTCCCATCCCCCTTCCATGGTTTATTTTCTTCTCAGCATCAATAATAATCTAATATTACTCCTGTTTACATGTGCCATCCATTATAATATGCACTTTTTCTGTTCTACTCACAGCTTTATTCTTACTACCCAGAACCATGCCTCGCGCATTACTCTCTCAATAAATAATTATTGAATAATGAGTAAGGTAGTAAGTCAAGAATATGAAACAATCAGCTTAAATCCTATAAAAGAAGAGACAGAAGTATCTTTTCATTGTAGATGATAATATTGCATACCTCAAAAATCCAAAATGAATTAGTCAAGCAGCTATTAAACTTAATAAAATTACTTGGCAAGGTGCTTGGAGATAAGATAATGTTTTAAAAATCAAGATTTTTCTTTGCACTGCAACAAGTAATTAGAAATGAACATGGAAGAAATTTCTCATTCACAGTGGCAAAAAATTCTGGTGTAAGTTTAAATTAAAAGGTATAATACCTATATAAACAAAATTATTTAAATATTTAAAATAAACTATATTGTTATAGTAATATATTATAAATAGGAATTCTTAACATCATAGAATGTAAATGTTTCCTACATTTGTATGTATGTAATGCAACTCAAATCATAATTCCAATGAGTTTTTTTAGTACAGAATAACAAATTCATATGGAAGCATATAAGTCTCATAATAGTCATAAAAATTATTTCTAGAAAAGCTATAGAGATGGGCAACTTTTCTTACTAGATATTAAAATTTACCGCAAAGCTACTACAGTCAAAATAGGATAGAGTTAACCCAGGGAAAATAGATCAGTGAACAGAATAAACAGACTATAATAGTTCAAAGTATAAAGGAAACAACATATGACTAAAGTGACGTGACATTTTTACGGGAAAAAGATAATTCATTTAATAAATGATGCAGGCAATATTTGCTATCCATCTGGAGAAAATTAAAATTAACCACTTCATGCTATGCAAAAATAAATGTAGGATGAATTAGATATGAATTCAAAGGATAAACAGTAAAATTACTACACTGAAACTTAGGAGAAGTCTTGTGCAACCTCACGGAAAGGGAGATCTTCCTAAGCAAAGCAGGAAATTCAGAAACTGTGAAAGAAAAAGACAGACATTGTATGTCAAAGGACATCCTAAATGAAGTAAAGACATAAAAGACTAGGAGAAAATATTTTACCTGGAGAGCAGTCAAAAAGTTAGTATTCTTAATATAAAAAGCTTTGAAATTTGATAAGAAAAATACATAGAAAAATGGGAAAATCATATGGACAGATTAATTTATACAAGAGAAAATACAAGTGGCCGATAAATACAAAAGGTGATCACTCCATAGTCAAGTGAATGCAAATCAAACCAAAAATTATGTTTAATATGTCACCTAATTTCACCAAATTTTTGCAAGTGTAATGACATCATAGACAGGTGAGAATATAGGCTCTCTTATAAATTTCTAGTGGAAATGTGAATTAATGCACGCTGTTTAGATGGTCATCTCTTGTTATATGTTTAAATTTAAAATACATATATTGAGATGTTATTGAAATATATGAAGATATATTAAATAAAACAACCACAATGAGATGTAGGACACTGTGTGTAATCCATTTTGGTGTAAAATAGGATGATAGATTCGGTAGATACTGTATTAGGTAGGTTTACTACCTTAAAAATAGGCTCAAACATAAAACAACTCAAAGGCTATTGCTTGTTAAATTAAGCAAGAGGGTGGGGATTTTATGGACTAGTCTTGGAAGTGGCACATATCACTACTACTCACATTTAGTTGACTGGAGCTCAGTCACATGACCAAACATAACCACAAAGGAGGCTGAGAAATGTAGTCTAGCTGTGTGCCCAAGAGGAAGGGAAGAAGAAATTTTCGGTGGACAGTTAAAAGTCTATGCTATAGAGATAGATCCACTAGATAGATTACATAGATAGATAGATTACGTAGATAGATAGATTACATAGATAGATAGACATAGATAGATAGATATAGATGATTAGATGATAGATAGATAGATAGATGATAGATAGATTGATAGATAGACCTGTCTAGCTGTATTTGCAGTTACACCACATGAATTCATTATAAATATGATTTTTACTTCTGGCAGAAGTTATAAGAAACTCTTAATAAGGGTTATATTATTACTTTAGAACCAAATAAAGGAGAGTTAGGCTTTTGATTTATTTTATGCTCCTGTGGACTGTTTGCATTTCCTAACCTTATGCATATATTCTCTTTTTTTCCCCTGCAAAAAAAGTGGCTACAAGATTTATTGAGAGACAAGGTTCCATTTTTCTTCTTTGTTTCTCCATGTACTTAAATTATATAAATACATTTATAATAGCTAATAAATATAAATAAGAATATAGTAAATAAATAATAAAAATATAATGCAAATATGTATTTACTGCTTTCCCCAGCAACCTGGTAAGCTATAGACTGACACAGAAATAAGTGTCAGTACATCAGGATATATGAAGAAAGTTGTTTACTGCATCTTTATTTGTAATGGCAAATACTGAAAACAATCTGAATATCTATTGATGTAATAAAAAATGTGGCAATACATATTATAGAATAGCAGTCCTCAAATGTTTTAGTCTCAGAACTCCTTTGCACTCTTAAAAATTATTAAGAACTTCAAAGAACTTTTGTTTATGTGGGTTGAATCTATGAATATTTATTGCATTGAAATTTAAAAGAAATTTAAATTTATTAACCCATTTAAAAATAATAAATCCACCATGTTAACACAAATAACATATTTTATAAAAACTTGGCCAGGCATGATGGCTCATACCTGTAATACCAGCACTTTGGGAGGCCAAGGCGGGTGGATCACTTGAGATCAGGAGTTCAAGACCAGCCTGGCCAATATGGTTAAACGCCATCCCTGCTAAAAATACAAAAATTAGCCAGGCCTTGTGGCATATGCCTGTAATCCCAGCTACTAGGGAGGCTGAGGCAGGAGAATCACTTGAACCCCGTTGCAGTGAGCTGAGGTCATGCCACTGCACTCCAGCCTGGGCAACAGAGTGAGACTCCATCTCCAAAAAAAACAACAACAGCAGCAATCACAACAACAACAAAAAACTACTTATATTTCACCAAAAAAAAAACAATTTGGTAAGAAGATTTGCATTGTTTCAGATTTTTGTAAATATCTAATGGCTGGCTTAGTAAAGACAGCTTGATTCTCATTCCAGTTTCTGCATTTGATCTGTTGCTGCGTGTGGTATTTGTTGACACACATGAAGGAAATCCAGCCTCATATAGATATTTACTTGGAAAGGGAAGATTATTTTAATAACGTTTTCAGATAGTTTTTAAATTCTTTTTTTATATATCCCCAAACTCAACAAGCAGTTATTTATTATAGTTAGATCGCCATGTAAATCTGAAGTCATATCAATGAATCATTTGTACTGTTAGATTAAAACTTTTATTTTGCGCTTTGAGTGGATATTTTACCCATTCATTATTTTATAATATCATGCATTGATCATTTGGAATATATTGTTTTGCTAAGTTATGCATATCTTCCGAATGTTGACACACAATGTCAAAAAATCAAATTCATTAATATCATCACTGATGCTGATGGTAGGGGATGAGTTTCCCAAAATTTCTCGAAAACTTAGATTTTATCATCAGCAACAAATACTGTCAGTTGTTTTCCTTGAAGTGAAAGTTTCACTTCATTCACTTTTCAAATCTTATTTCAATTCAAGTCCCAAAATCTGAATAACCAAATTTTCACTCTTTCTTTAAAAAAAAAGAAAAAAACAGTGCATCATGGAAAAAGCAGCTCACAATTTAATTACATAAATTTTAAGTTTTCAATTTAAATATATAAATGCTTATCCTTGAGACAGCCATCATACTTCAGTATGCTGCAGAAATGCTTCATCCAGTCTTCCCATTACATCACCCAGAATATTGAAAAAACATGTACTCAAGGGTTGAGATTAATGTAATTTTTACTGCTTAATCAAGGATATTCTTCAGTGAAACTGACTTGCTTTTTTTATTATTATTATACTTTAAGTTTTAGGGTACATGTGCACAATGTGCAGGTTTGTTGCATATGTATACATGTGCCATGTTGGTGTGCTGCACCCAGTAACTCGTCATTTAACATTAGATATATCTCCAAATGCTATCCCTCCCCCCTCCCCCCACCCCACAACAGGCCCCGGTGTATGATGTTCCCCTTCCTGTGTCCAAGTGTTCTCATTGTTCAATTCCCACCTATGAGTGAGAACATGCAGTGTTTGGTTTTTTGTCCTTGCGATAGTTTGCTGAGAATGATGGTTTCCAGCTTCATCCATGTCCCCACAAAGGACATGAACTCATCTTTTTTATGGCTGCATAGTATTCCATGGTGTATATGTGCCACATTTTCTTAATCCAGTCTATCATTGTTGGACATTTTGGTTGGTTCCAAGTCTTTGCTATTGGGAATAGTGCTGCAATAAACATACATGTGCATGTGTCTTTATAGCAGCATGATTTATAATCCTTTGGGTATATACCCAGTAATGGGATGGCTGGGTCAAATGGTATTTCTAGTTCTAGATCCCTAAGGAATCACCACACTGACTTCCACAATGGTTGAACTAATTCTACAATGAACTCCAACAAATTTACAAGAAAAAAACAAACAATCCCATCAAAAAGTGGGCAAAGGATATGAACAGACACTTCTCAAAAGAAGACATTTATGCAGCCAAAAGACACATGAAAAAATGCTCAGCATCACTGGCCATCAGAGAAATGCAAATCAAAACCACAATGAGATACCATCTCACACCAGTTAGAATGGCGATCATTAAAAAGTCAGGAAACAACAGGTGCTGGAGAGGATGTGGAGAAATAGGAACACTTTTACACTGTTGGTGAAACTGACTTGCTTTCAAAAGTCAGAGTGCCTGGTAGTAAAGAATATTTTGACTACTAGTACGGGTTGGTATAACTGCCTTGAATCACTAAGCAGCCTAAGTTTGGATCCAGTAAGACCATCCACTAACCTGTGTGACTTAGGGCACATTTACTTACTTCTACTGAGCCTCAGTTTCCTCATCTGCAAAATGGTGGCAAAGTACTTTCACACTCTCATACGTTTCCTGCAACAAATGTGTGAAGGAAAGTGTTTAAATTCCATGCATAAGGCCTTGACACAATTTAAGTGCCCAGTTTTTAGTAAATGGATTTCCAATATGGACTATTGTATTAATAAGAGCGGCACTTAGATGAACAGAGATTTTTTTTTTATTATTATACTTTAAGTTCTAGGGCACATGTGCACAACGTGCAGGTTTGTTACATATGTATACATGTGCCATGTTGGTGTGCTGTACTCATTAACTCGCCATTTACATTAAGTATATCTCCTAATGCTATCCCTCCCCCCTCCCTCCACCTCACGACAGGTCCTGGTGTGTGATGTTCCCCTTCCTGTGTCCAAGTGTTCTCATTGTTCAATTCCCACCTATGAGTGAGAACATGAGGTTTTTTGTCCTTGCAATAGTTTGCTGAGTTTGGTTTTTTGTCCTTGCCATAGTTTGCTGAGAATGATGGTTTCCAGCTTCATCCATGTCCCTACAAAGGACATGAACTCATCCTTTTTTATGGCTGCATAGTATTCCATGGTGTATATGTGCCACATTTTCTTAATCCAGTCTATCATTGATGGACATTTTGGTTGGTTCCAAGTCTTTGCTATTGTGAATAGTGCTGCAATAAACATACGTGTGCATGTGTCTTTAGATTCTAACTATTGTAACAACCCACTGGGGGAGTTCGCTGTCAGAGTTAGAAATAAAAGCATAGTTTTGTGATATCCTTACTCGGTCTTTTGTCATTTTATCTGGGAAGACATCCAATTGCATAACAATGACTTGGTTGTCTGGGTCTTTGTTTCACAAGTTCCAGAATGAGAATAGAATGCAGTAGAAAGGTAAAACCAAGGTGGCCCATACTACAGGAAGAAGCTTATTACTTAAACATATTCTGGGTTTCAGCTGTTTATGGGACCTGGTAGATACATATATGCCCCCCGGCTATTCTCAAATATAATGTTGAAGGACTATATAATATTAGGAAACATTTATTGAGCATTTTGGTACTTTGAGAAAAGCACTTTGTTTAAATTCTCATATTTGACTATTGTGACAGGAAAATAAATCTCAGGACTCAAAAATCACTAAGCCAAAGGGAAAAGTCAAGCTGGGAACTGCATCAGGCAAACCTGCCTCTCATTTTATTCCTAACTAAGATAACTACAAAGATTTAACAAGCTACATACCTCCCTCACAATTTGCCCACTAGGAAATTTTTGTGGGCCCCAAAATCTTTACCCTGAAATAGTTCTGTCAAATTTCATTCTGACAATGTAAATTGATAGCTTATCTTCACAGGTGTGGGACAAAGAACAGAACTCAAAATCATCCCTCTGCTCACCTGAGACAAATGCATGTCTGATTGCTTCCTCTCTCCTATGTTTATCTTATGTAAAAATGCAGATTCACTGAGCTAGATTAATGCACAAGTGACTATTTCTCTACTCCGCTATCACATGTGAATGGTTGATCAAAGGCTCAAAAGAATGCAACCCTTTGCTTCTCGCCTACCCACACCTCTTAAAAAGTATTCCTCGGCTGGTTGCAGTTACTCACACCTGTAATCCCAGCACTTTTGGAGTCAGAGGCAGTTGGATCACGAAGTCAAGAGATCTAGACCACCCTGGCCAATATGGTGAAACCCCGTCTCTACTAAAAATGAAAAAATTAGCTGGGTGTGATGGTGGTCCCAACTACTCGAGAGGCTGGGGCAGGAGAATCACTTGAACCTGGGAGGTGGAGGTTGCAGTGAGCCAAGATTGCACCACTGCACTCCAGACTGGCGACAGAGCGAGACTCCATCTCAAAAAAAAAAGTTATTCCTCTTTCCCCAATATCCACTCTTTCCCCTTTAAATATTGAAGCCCTCAAACTCATCTTTGGAGAAAGACACAGACCTGTCTCCTGGGTTCACATCCCTAACCATAGGAACATAAACTTCTAAATTGATTGAGAACTGTCTCAGATATTTTTTGGCTTACACTATGAATCAATGTTTAAGTTTTCAGTAACAATACACAGTAACCCAAACATTAAGAATGAATAGTTATTTCTGGATGATGAGATAATAGCTGATGTTTATTTTTTATGTATATTTTTAGATTTTCCCATCACCAGCATTTTCGGTTTACTGTTTAAAAGTTGTTTACAATTTTTTAAAAAGAAAACAGCACAGTGAGCTTGGTTTATAGCATTTTTATTGCAATTTTGCGCAGCATTTGAAATTTCAAAGCATTAGTAGAATTTGAAAAGAACAGTTCATTAACCTTGGCAAAGGGAGAAAATAGAGATCACTGTGGTTTCAACCGCTCAGCTATACCTTTTAGAAAAGAAGTTTTGCCTACCCAAAAGCCATCATTTTAATAACACAATATTAGTGTTCTACCAGGCAGTAAAACACTGTAATTAAACATGTGATAAAGCTCTGCCACCCATTGGGTATTTGCTCTTGTCTTAGCAAAGAGCACTCAAATCAGTCATGGAACAGCCATCAGTGCAACACAAAGTTTGTAAATCTTGTCTTGACATCACTGAATGCTTCTTTGACTTCCAAAGCTCTTCAGTGGGCATCTGTCCACCCCAAAGACGGTCTTCCCCTGAGGCATCCACCTTCGGAAGGTTTTGCGCTGGATTTTCCTCAGAAAACTCACGTTTATGTGGGAGCTGGAAGGAGTTTCCTGTCTCAGCTGTATGGAAGAGAAAAAAATAATACATCCTTAGACAGCTCCTACAAAGAAGGCAGCAACCACATTCCACTCCTGGGGAAATGAACTGGATCCCTAAAATGAAATAGAATCATACACATAATTTTTTAAAATGTTGGCCTGGTTTCAGAGAGATTAGACATTTTGGGGAGAGCACAGTCATCTCCACTGTCCTCATTTTACAGAGGCAGAAACTTGAGTGCAAAGATGAGGAGTGACAGTCAGTGTTGCTCAGCTAGTCGGGACTTGACTTCTTTTACTCGCTACCTCTGCTGGATGACCAGCAGCTTCCAATATTAGTTATGTGCTATAAACAAAAAACACATAAACAAAAAAAAACCCTGTGTATGCCCTGCAATCTCGATCAGTAAAGAAGGAAATGGAGATTTAAACCTCTATATCTGAAAATAAAAAGTGAAATTCACAGTTTTTGCCTAAGTGTTGTTTCCAAAGTTCATATATAAGCTTCTCTCACTTTAATTTAGTTCAAATTGACTTATCAATGCCTTAGCACACCAGCAGGCACCATGAAAAACTAGGTGAACAGATGCTGGTTGGTAAACCAGTAATTGATCAGATAAATAATGTGTGGGAAAACACTGAAAATCTGAGAAAGATTGAATAATAAGTAGTATGATTTCAGTGATGTCCAACAGAGCTAGCCTTATAGATATCCATTCCACTCCCCTATGTGTTTCAGAGATATCCCAAATGTATTTTTATAGTGCATTTTGGTTTGCTATTACAGAGATTGTTGTAAATCCTGGTAAATTATGCTTACTCTCTTAAGATTAAAAACCCATATAATTTTTGTTAGCAACTAGTCATATGAACTTCAATATTAAAGTGGTACTGAAAATGGAAAATACATGCTTTTTCAACACATTAGCCCACCCAAAGATGAACAGTTTAGGTCATTTTCTAAAAGGTTTTTATTACCAACATCATTTTAAATTAAACTGAAACCTTAACAATCATACATATAGTCGCAACATTTATTATGTAATCACATTTTTCCTTTTTAACTTTTTAGTATAAAACATAGCAAATACAACCAATTATTAAAATACACTCTTAAGCAAGGCACAGAAAGACAAACACCACATGATCTCACTGATATGTGGAATCTAAAAACGTCAAACTCAAAAATGTATAGCGGAGAACGATGGTTATCAGAGGGTGAGGGTGAGGGGGATGGTTGGGGAAGAGATGGTCAAGAGTACAGAATTTCCATTAGAAGGAATAATTTCAAGAAGTCTATTGTACAACATGGTGACTATAGTTAATAAAAATGCATTGTATTCCTGAAATTGCTAAAAGAGTAGATTTCAAGTGTCCTCATCACAAAAACATAAGTATGTGAGGTAATGCATATGTTAATTAGCTTGATTTAGCTATTCCACATGTATATTGTATGTATACCTATTTCAAAACAATATGTTGTACACAATAAATGTATATAATTTTTACCAATTAAAAAAATAATTTTTTAAATAGGATTTTCAGCCATGCCCAGTGGCTTATGCCTGTAATCCCAGTGCTCTGGGAGGCCGAGACGGAAGATTGCTTGAAGCCAGGAGTTTGAGACCAGCCTGGGCAACATTGCAAGACCCCACCTCTACAAAATATTTAAAAATTAGCCAGATGTGGTGGCACACACCTGTAGTCCTACCTACTCAAGAGGCTGAGGTGTGAGGATCACTTGAGTGCAGGGGTTTGAGGCTTCAGTGAGCTATGATTGTGCCAGCCTGGGTGAGAGGGCAAGACCCTGTCTCCAATCAAATAAATAAATAAATAAATAAAAATCTAAAAATAGGATTTTAAATAAATTCTACCTCATACTTTAATATGGAATTAACAGAAAGAATTTCAGTCAAATTTTTAAGTTAGTTGAATTGAATAATAAAGAAATATAGTGAAGTCAGCCGCTTCACCGTTTCTGAAAGACATTTGGTTCATTTCTTCCTTCAAAATCCTGATCAGACAATTCCTACTACTAGAATTCCCACCCTGCTTCCCCACCACCTTCCATAATCCCCAAATCCTTCAGGGCCTCTGTCAGTAACCACCACCTCCATGATGCTGTCACCTATTACAAAATAGGTGACATTTTGTAATAGGTGACATTTTGTAACATTCTCTTTCCCACCCGAGACTCAGTATGGAATTAGTAAAGACCTTGGCTCTTGAAGCCAGATAGACCCAGTTTCCTACCTAACCACATTTTCACCAGCTGGGAGAAGAATTTTCTTCTTGGTAAAATGATAAATGGTGGTAATTTTGCTTGCTTCCCAGGATCCTTATCAGAAAGCTGAATGAAATGTTGCACATGTAACTTCCCAGCACTTAAAAGTGCTCAATTAAGGTCAGCTTCTTTCCTTGCATCCATATTTAACAACTGCCGGAATTCTAACTTATTATATTGTACAATTATTCATGAGTGAAAGTCTTGCTACTTCAACACGCTCCTTGAAATCACATGCTTCGCCATAGCCTCCAAAGTACCTTCCACAGATGCTGAGCCCATTGAAGTAGTCATGCGATTAAATGATTTCAAGCAGGGGACTAAAAAATGAGGTAGTTATTTTTTGAAAGGTAGCATGCTCATCACTTTCCCAAGCCAAATTCAGTATATTTTGATAATTAATCCCTTAAATTGACATAAAAAATGCCTCAACAGTACTTAGAGAAACACTTAATAAAATAATGGTTTAAAACACAGCTTGAAAAAATAAAAGAGACATGTGAAAGGAAAATAGAGGAGACACATGAGTTACTGTTACCTTGCTGAGCTTGAGGGATCCCCTCCTGATGCCTTCTCCACCTGGAGCTAGCACAGATATAGATGACTGTCCGTATGTATTCTAGCCCACAGAGTCTCACAGACTCCTTGCTCCGCACTTCTGAGATGGCAAATAGGACAGAGAATAAAAACAGAGTGAAAATGGAGCCCTTCATTTTGCTGAGGACTGAATGTGAATCTGATATGGTAAATATAGTCAAATCAAATTCTGGAGTGACTGTCACTCTCTTGACCAATTTATACTAACTTTCCTGACATTTCATTGGTCAGAACCTCATTTTTACAATATTTGCTAAGCACATAGGGTTACACAGTAAAGTTTTGAAAATGCGGTTTTATGAGTATTGCCAGCTATTCAGTCTCTCCTTAATACCATCAACGCATCTGTGAGATGATAAAAACAGATGCCCTCTTGGAAGGCATTATGGAAAACTCACGGACTTTGAAAGTTGCCAAGAATGAGTTTCACTCTCAGCCTTGCTACTTACTGAGTGACATAAGGCAAGTTTTAAACTTTTTGAGTTGAGGCAAAGCCTGGTGGCTAACACCTGTAACCCCAGCACTTTGGGAGGCCAACACAGATGGATCACTTGAGGCAAGGAGTTCAAGACCAGCCTGGGCAACATAGTGAGACCTCCATCTCTACAAAAAATTTAAAAATTACTCAGGCACAATGGCATACTTGAGCCCAGGAGTTCAAGGTTACAATGAGCCATGACAGTGCCACTGTACTCCAGCCTGGGTGACAGTGAAACCGTGTCTCTAAAAAACAAACAAACAAACAAGTAAACAAAAAAACCTTTTGAACCTCAATAACCATATCTCTGGAATGGGAAGACCCATCTCACAGGGGTTTTTTTGAATATTGAAAGCAATATGAATGTCAGAACAATGGGATATCACACTTAAGTAGGCAATTTCTTATGTCCTGAGTTTGAATCCTGGCCGTTGCTGTTGCCTGGCTGTTACTTACCAGATCTAGACTCTTAAGCAAGTTTTTAAGGCATCCTTCTTTGTAAAATAGTGTTGATGATTGTAACTACCTCATAGGTCTAATGTGATAACATGCGTCCCACTTGGTACAATAAACAGCTAATAGGCCAGGCGCAGTGGCTCACGCCTGTAATCCCAGCACTTTGGGAGGCCGAGGCAGGTGGATCACGAGGTCAGGAGATCGAGATCATCCTGGCTAACACGGTGAAACCCTGTCTCTACTAAAAATACAAAACATTAGCCAGGCGTGGTGGTGGGCACCCGTAGTCCCAGACACTCAGGAGGCTGAGGCAGGAGAATGGCATGAACCCGGGAGGTGGAGCTTGCAGTGAGCTGAGATCACGCCACTGCCCTCCAACCTGGGCGACAGAGCGAGACTCTGTCTCAAAACAAAAACAAACAAACAAACAAACAAACAAAAACAAAAAAAAACAGCTACTAATTATTAGCTGCTTCTCCTCTCACCATCAGAATAGAAGACTAGAAAAGATAACTTCAGAATTCAGAAGATTTTATCTGACTAGGATCTTGTTATCCTTCACCTATGACCTAGGTACACTTTTCTCAACACACGTATTTATGATAATAGAAAGCTAAGTCCATATCCCAAATAGCTAAATAATGAAATTTCTCTTTTGGTAAAACCTCTGAAAGCACTAGCTCTTGCAAAGGTCTTACCTAAACTGAGAATCCCAGAGTTTGGGATCTTAAAGAACTGTTGACTCAGGTTTTAGCAAGTTGAACAAATAATGGTTCAGTTGATTCTGTGAAATCCTTGTCTGTGATTCCTGGTTGGAAAAAAATTGCTAAGTCTGTGGCCATGATCATATCATTTGTACTTCTTGTGAAATCACTGTTCTTCTGTAGGGAAGCTGGAAAATACAACAAAATAATCTGTTATCTAATTGAAAGCATTCTTTGCTGTAAAAAATAAAAATTATTTCTAAGAGTCTTGCTTTCTCCATTTCTTTGGCTGTAGTGTGAAGAATGGATTAAGAAAGGCAAGACTTGAGAAAGGAAAAACAGAAAAAGGCTGTTTCAATAATTTAGATATGATGGTGGCCTAAACTAAGGCCATGGAAGAGAGATAGGACACATGTGTATTCAAAATATAGAAGGGCTTGGTACTGACTGGGTATCAGGGGCAATGGAGAGAAAGATGTCAAATATGATACCTCGATTTCTGGCTTGTTCAACTGGGAGGTAGGGCGGTCATTTGCTAAGAAAGGGACCAAAGAAGCAGAAATGGTTCTGTCATCAGAGAAAGCTACTCCATCTTTGGATGGGTCAAAATCAGCATCTTTCATCAACTCCAGAGGGACGTCTGTATTACCATGCTTAGCACATCCACAACATAACAGCTATTGAGCCATGTATTACCAAACTTCTTCCCTTCTTTGGAGATTTATAGTGCATATCTTGACAATGCCAGTTTTAACATAGCACTGCAGTAGATCTATCATCAGTGGCTATGGATTGGGCTTCTGCACAACCCCAGGGATATTCAGCCAAGGGACGATCCCTACCTTGGATGTCAGATGGACTCTGGCATGATCCTGCTATCACCACACTTGATGCCCCTAGGTGCAAAGTAGTCCCCTCTTCTACCAGCTCTTAATACCTCATTAGGGCTCATTTAGTTTGGGATGGAAGGCTGGCAATACTTGAGCTCATTCTGTGACCTAATGGAGGCAAGTTAGACAGCCAAGTAGCTACCCAGATGAAAAAGCTCATGACAATAATAAAAGCCCTAGATGTGAAGCCTGAAATTTTGGGGCTTATTTTCCCCATTTGTATATTGAGAGGGTTGGATTTAATTGTTAAAAGTCTTCTCTGCACTTGAAATTATCAGTCTTGCTATAATTGTCTGATTATGTTACTCCCACCTCACAAACCTTCAGTGGCTCACCATTACCTCCAGAAGACAATCCAAACAATATCACATTTAATGCTTTCCACTCAGGTACCCAAACATCACTTTTTTCACATACCTCAAGGTCCATGAAAGGCTAACCAACTGAAAAGGAATCTTTCCATCTTTTGAGTAACCACAGTTTCTTTTTTGCACCTCTCACAGGAGCACTTAATCCCTTTCATTTGGAGATGGACGTGATTTTTCTTCCTCATTCTGGTCTGTAACTCAGTTTACTATCTATGTGGCAATTATTATGTGTCTTATTTCAGGTTTCCTTCGGATAGCTCTAACAAAATACCAGAGACTGGGTAGCTTATAACAACAGAAATTTATTTCTCACGGTTCTGGAGCCTGGGAAGTCCAAGATGAAGGTGACAGCATGGTCCGGATTCTAGGACCTCTCTCTGTGTCCTTTCACAGAAGATGGGGCAAGCTGGCTCTCTGGGGTCTCTAAGGTCATCAATCCCATTCATGAGGGTCCTGCCTTCATGACCTATTCACCTCCCAAAGACCCCATCTCCTAATTTCATCACCTTGGGGGTTAGGATTTCAACATAGGAGACACAATATGTAATTTTCCGCTCTGAGTTTTAATTTCTCCATCTATGAGGAGATAATAATCTGTGTTTTATAATGTTATTGTGAAGCAAAATGAGTTAACACAAGTACAGCACCTAGAATAATATATAATTCAATAAATAATAAATTAACAATGTCATGAACAAGGGATTAGAAAATATTATTTTTGGTTGGGACTAGCTACTATGGATGACTCTTCTGTATAACTCTTAATCTCAAAACCATCCATAAATTTGCACTGCTGTCGTCTTTTTCTTTCCTCCCTTCCTTCATCCTTTCCTTGCCTTCTTCTTTCCTTTCATCCTTCCACAAACAAGTTCTAATAAAGAAAGGTCTTATGGTACTGTTTCTTAAAGTGTTTTCTTCAGAACATGAGTCTTTGCAGATGGTCTTTGAATATTTTTTAAAAAGGATTCCATGATAGTAGTCTCTTTCTTTGAGATTAATAATGCCTACTAATATAGTAGAGCCCAGAGAAGACTTATAGTTATGAAATTTCTTTAACTTTGTTTAATTCAATGTTTTCACAACTTATTTGATGTTGGAAATAACTCCATTGTGAAATTGATTAACATCTGGGATTGCTGTGAATTTCTAGAGTAGACGTATCTCTAGTTCTCCTCTGTCCTGACACATGGTAGGGTTGTATTTCTCTGCTCTTTAAAATTGGGCAACACCATGTGGCATATTTTGGCAAATAAAATGTGAGTGGATGTGACATATGTCACTTCTGCCTGAAATTTAAGGATCGGTGTATGATCCTCCAGTTCTCCCTCTTCCTGGCTGTGGTTACCAACAACATTCCTGATGTGGGAACCTAATCACTGAGTCAGAACAATATGGAGCATAACTGCCCACTGATCTGTAATGAATATGTAATATGAATGGAAAAGAAACCAGCCCTCAGAAATAATGCCGCATATCTACAACTATCTGATCTTTGACAAACCTGAGAAAAACAAGCAATGGGGAAAGGATTCCCTATTTAATAAATGGTGCTGGGAAAACTGGCTAGCCATATGTAGAAAGCTGAAACTGGATCCCTTCCTTACACCTTATACAAAAATCAATTCAAGATGGATTAAAGACTTAAACGTTAGACCTAAAACCATAAAAACCCTAGAAGAAAACCTAGGCATTACCATTCAGGACATAGGCATGGGCAAGGACTTCATGTCTAAAACACCAAAAGCAATGGCAACTAAAGACAAAATTGACAAATGGGATCTAATTAAACTAAAGAGCTTCTGCACAGCAAAAGAAACTACCATCAGAGTGAACAGGCAACCTACAAAATGGGAGAAAATTTTCACAACCTACTCATCTGACAAAGGGCTAATATCCGGAATCTACAATGAACTCAAACAAATTTACAAGAAAAAAAACAAACAACCCCATCAAAAAGTGGGTGAAGGACATGAACAGACACTTCTCAAAAGAAGACATTTATGCAGCCAAAAAACACATGAAAAAATGCTCATCATCACTGGCCATCAGAGAAATGCAAATCAAAATCACAATGAGATACCATCTCACACCAGTTAGAATGGCAATCATTAAAAAGTCAGGAAACAACAGGTGCTGGAGAGGATGTGGAGAAATAGGAACACTTTTACACTGTTGGTGGGACTGTAAACTAGTTCAACCATTGTAGAAGTCAGTGTGGCAATTCCTCAGGGATCTAGAACTAGAAATACCATTTGACCCAGCCATCCCATTACTGGGTATATACCCAAAGGACTATAAGTCATGCTGCTATAAAGACACATGCACACGTATGTTTACTGCAGCATTATTCACAATAGCAAAGACTTGGAACCAACCCAAATGTCCAACAATGATAGACTGGATTAAGAAAATGTGGCACATATACACCATGGAATACTATGCAGCCATAAAAAATGATGAGTTCATGTCCTTTGTAGGGACATGGATGAAATTGGAAATCATCATTCTCAGTAAACTATCGCAAGAACAAAAAACCAAACACCGCATATTGTCACTCGTAGGTGGGAACTGAACAATGAGAACACATGGACACAGGAAGGGGAACATCACACTCTGGGGACTGTTGTGGGGTGGGGGGAGGGGGGAGGGATAGCATTGGGAGATATACCTAATGCTAGATGACGAGTTGGTGGGTGCAGCGCACCAGCATGGCACATGTATACATATGTAACTAACCTGCACAATGTGCACATGTACCCTAAAACTTAAAGTATAATAATAATAATAAAAAAAAGAAAAAAAAAGAAACCTTTATCATTTGAAGTCACTGAGATTTGGAGATTGCTCGCTATAACAACATAACCTGGCTTATCCTGACTATTATAATTATCTTACAGTTATTTACATGTTACAGATGGAGAGAACGTTTATAATGATTCAAGTTTCTAGATCAAAGCAAAATAAGTTATTTGGCCTTAACAACTGGAATAAATTACCACATTTTCAATATGATTGATTATATGAAGGCCTACCATTAATGTGTACCAAAACCCAAATTAACAACCAAACAATGAATTCAGTAAATATATCACTCACTTATTTACCATTTATAAAGGAACTATGACGACAGTATACTTAACAGATGGTGTTTGGAATAGGTTGGCATGAGTTGTATATACTGTTTGTGGCATTGGATTTTGGAAATCAGATATCAGTTCTTCCATTTAATATTTATGTGACCTTAATACTTTAGATTTTAAGACATACTTAAAATCTCTGAATCTCAGTTTCTTCATTTGTAAAATAGAGATAATAATACAAACTTTATTAGGCTAATTGTAAGGATTAAATGATCCAAAGAGTGCTGATCAGAGTCTCTAGCACAAGGAAACTTTCAATAGACTGATCATTGATGGAAATTATAATGGTGGGAATGCCACCAAATAGAACCTTGGTATTAGAATGTTAAACTTTTAGGATTGCTACTCTAGTTCCCAGCTAAGAGACCTTGAGGATGTATTTAACCTGTAATTTGGTTTTCTGATTTGTTACATTGAAAAATATCACAGGATCAATTGCGGTAATGTTAATTATAGCTCTGATAAATTATAAAGCATATCACATATAATTATTTGATGATAATTATGATTATGATATCACTATATATAAATTCATTAGCAAATACTAATTTATTTTTGTTATTTTCTGACACAGATAGTAGCTGCTCATCGTTGGCTAATACTTATTTTTAATGCTTCTAGACAGAGTCTTCATTAAGATGCGACGATTCTTCCAGCTTTTCCTAGAAGTCATTCACAACTCCTCATTTTCTCTCACACTCCATTGACTAAACCTTTTCCATACACAAACATCCACTAAATCACCAAGTCTCTTTGGTTCTACCTTCTAAATTTCTCTATGATCCACCCACTGCTCTCTATCCCCTCTACCATGACCTCAGGTTTCATTGGCATTGCTGCAATGGCCTCTCAGTTGGCCCTGTCATCAATCCATTTTCCATACTGCTGCCAGAATGATCTTTCTGAAACTCATGATTATCACCCATCTCTAAAACCCCCCAACAGTTTCCCTGAAGAAAATTTCCAAATTTCTCTAATATGGCCTGCAAGACATTTCATGATTTGGCCTCTCTCTACTTGTTCAGGTTTTAGATATCCTCGAACTCTAAATGGTCCAGTTATATCAAATGCCTTACAGATATTGAAGTTCCATATTCTCTTTTTCCCCATCTGAAACTCCTTTCCCTTGACTTTTTAACTCTGGTTAACTTATGAAGAATGTGTGTGGAAGGGATACTGAAATAACATTATCTAGAAAAGTTTTTGCATGATTTTATAGATTAAACTTTTTTACCACTCATTACAGTGATGTTTTTAATTCCCTATCAGTAAGGATTAAAATGACCAGCTGACATACAACTTAATAGCAATAATAATAATAACCTGAATAAAAAATAGGCAAAGGACCTGAATAGACATTTTTTTCAAAGAAAGCATAAAATAGCCAACAGGTATATGAAATGTTGAACATCACTAATCATCAGGAAAATGCAAATCAATACCAAAATATTACCTCACACTTATTAGGATGGCTATTATCAAAAAGAGAAGAGACTAATGTTGGTAAGGATATAGATAAAAGGGAACCCTTGCACACAGTTGATAGAAATGTAAACTGGTACAGCTAATATGGAAAATAGTATAGAGAGTCCTCAAAAATTTAAAAACAGAACTACTATGCAATCCAGCAATTCTACTTATGGGTATATACCCAAAAGAAATAAAATCAGTATGTCGAAGAGATATCTGCACTCCCATGTTCATTAACACATTATTCACAATAGCCAAGATATGGAATCAACCTAAATGTCCACTGGTGGATGAATGGATGAAGAAAATGTGATACACACAGACACAGATAAATATTATTCAGCCATAAGAAAAGGAGGATATTCTGCCACTTCTGACAGCATGGATAAATCTGGAGGACATTGTGCTAAGTTAAAGAAGTCAGACACAGAGAGACAAACACTGTATTATCTCACATATGTGGAATCTTTTTTAAAAAGTCAAATTTATAAAAGTGTAGGGTAGAACAGTGGTTGCAAGGGACTGGAAGATGGTGGAAATGGGGAGATGGTCAAAGGGTGAAAACTTTCACTTAGAAGATGAATAGGTTCTAGGGATCTAATATGCAGTATGATGACTATAGTTAATACTGTATTGTTTACTTGAAATTTACAAAGAGATCAGATTTTAAGTGTTCTCACCACACACACACACACACACATACACGCATACATGCACAAAAAGGTAACTAAGGGTGATGATGGATGTTAATTTAATTGTGGTAATCATTTCACAATGTACAATTGGAATATATACAATTTTTATTTGTAAATTAATTATACTTTAAATAAAGCTGGGAGAAAATCCAAAACAAATACACCTAAAATAAAATAAAATGAGCAACTAAAAATGTTTTTTAAAAATGTATCTTAAAAATAATAATTTATATTTAAAGCTTTATTTTGTATGAACAGAGCAGCAGCTTTCTTATGTTTTTGTTGTCATTTTAGGCTTTTAGAAATAAAGACTCAATAAATAATTGGAAAATTCAATAAAATTATTATCAGTGAGTTCTGATTTAAAACCGCCAGAACATCCTGGAATCCTCTGTTCTCCTAGTATAATGGCACCATGTCTTTTAATAGTTGACTTATTTGAGGAAAATACAGACATGGTGAAAGTACATTTTTCATTAGTTGTTCTGGATGTTGCATAAATGTCTCACCCATTTAGAAAATGCAGTGTTCCTTTTTTGTAAGATTCATAACAATGTTTTATATGTTCCAAGTTAAGGGATACATTATGCTTTCTATTTAACCCAGGAATTCATTTAATGTAAACTGTCAGCCTTTTAGTTTTATCACTAAATGGATATGTCAACCTAAAGAAATGAAGACTAATAGCCTAGTAAATGTTCTATGGATTTGAGGGTGGATTTGACATTGTACAAAATCCTAAACAAACAAGAAAAAAAAGCCTAAATATTGTGTGAAGGAACAAATGAGGTCATCAACATAGTCTGCAGGAGGAGTGGAGCCTTGGCAAAGACTCAGTCAACCACAAAGGGCAAAGAGGTTCTCAGACCAGGACATGGGGATGTGGTTCTGGAATAATCAGAATGAGAGCTGCCGTTTTTGAGTGCCTATCATGTACCAGGCATTTTGCTAGTGCTTTTACATCAGAGATAAATTGTTCCCCAAATGGCTGGCAGGAACACAGCCTTACAAAGTAGCAGCAATACTCGCTCTTTAAAAGAAAGGGATCATAGGTTAGTTTTTGTCTTAAAGGGAAAAACTGATTTTATATTGCTGTAGAACCAAAGACAACTACGACTGTGTTAACCAACTTTCCAGGCTGATTTTATGTTTTATATGTTTTCCACACTTAAAATGTTTTCTTTTCCTTCTGTGATGGTCAAGATATTTTGTTAGGATTTTTAGAAAATTTAATTTAAAATATTATGCCATCTTGTGATAAAGGGCAAGCATGAACCTATCATTTCCCCATTAATTTGATAATTCATTTATTCAATAAATACTTGTTGCATTACTACTCTGTGAGCCACTGCTCTAGGTGTTGTAAATATAGTGCAGTGAGTGAAACACATAGTTCCTACCCTCAAGGAACTTACAGTCTAGGAAAGAGACAGGCACTAAGCAAATTATTGTACAAATAAACATTTAGCACAGCTGGTACAAATCTTCATTTAGAAACTCAGTTATCCAAGAAATATATTTGCTAGAATTCTGTTCAATTTTTGACTCCAAGTTTCCATACCACTCAGCTGGCAGAAATAAACAACATCCAAACAAGTTGATGTCAGTCCAACTTGGGCTTGGTTTCCTTCCTCTTCCCTGGACATAACTAGAGCATCTTACTCTGGTGTGCCAAGGCCCTTCTGTCATCAAAGAGTTGGTGCCTCCTCAGTTGTCTGGCTTCTTCGGTTCTAGTGGTTCTTTGCTGCTGCTGTTGCACATCACTCATGGCATAAGGAATAGTTTTCAGAGTTCCTGTGGTCCCTCACGGGTCTTACTACTTCCTGGACAATGGTTTTTAGAAGTAGGGCATGGATCTTCTCTGCTCTAAGGATCCACAGGCCTCCCTCTTTTTCTCATCCCCCTACCCTTTCCATCCCTGAGGAAACTTCACATTTCTCTTTATGTTTAAGATACTTGGTCTATGTCTCAAATACCTTTTCTAAGTCCTATGCTTTTATAGAAGAAAAATGGATGTATTTGATTTACTGTCGTTTTATATGTCTCCTTCAACTTATAAACATAGAGCTACTAACTTGAGAAGGGAAAGGTAATGAAGAAAAATAAGGATTAAAAATATATCTCTTAATATTATCCCTCAATAATTTCTGAAATAATGCTATAAGGGAAATCCACGGTGACTTGAGAACAGTTAACAAAGGAACCAAATTTAATTTGATTGGGTGGTAGGTCCTATGAGAGGGAGCTTAGAGAGGGTTCTTCTGAGGAGATGAGATAGGAACTGGGATCTGAAAGCCATGTAGAGTTAATGTTTTGAAGGAGAGTGAGGAGTGGGGAGGAGGGTGTTCTCAACAGAAAGGATACACGTGCCAAGGCCTCTCAGCAGGAGAACATGGAAAAAAAAAACAAATCTACAAGCATTATCATTTATGGATAAAATCTTAATTATAGATTATACGCACTTGCATTTTGGTGTATGAGGCCTCAGCAAACTATATAAGGCATCAACCATTTATTATGCCAAAATGGAAAGTGTATAAGAACTGGTCAGAGCTTTGGACTTGAGTTCAAGCTTGACCAGTTATAAGTTGTATGGTCTATGGCATATTGTATCACCTCTTCAAGGCTTAATTATAACATCTGGAAAATAGAGATTATGATAATATTACAACTACATGCCCCATTAGTCTCATAGGATTGCTGTGATGATATATTGGGAAAATGGATGTGAAAGTGTTTGGCAAACGGTAAAGAACTTTCATGTGCATAATTAGTATGTTAATAACTAAATCTATTCAGAGTAAAATTCAATATTTTCTTTTAAAGAGACTCCTCCTGAGATAAAATGGCAAATACTAAGTGTTCCATTTTCTCACTTATAATTATATGTAACTACATAGAGGTGAACCAAGTGAACACACTAAATATGATACACAATTATATAGTAGTGAATACAATCTTCCTTTTCTGCCTCAACTGGAAGAGCAGCTAACAATTTACTATCAGACAACAATAATGTAAGTTCTAGATGAAAGATGCCTGGTAGAAAATGACCAAATGAAGTAATGAATACCTAGCACAAAATAGAAGCCTAAAGTTAGCACAGTCACCACTCTCTCCTTAGATCCCTAACCAGCACACTAGGGTGTGTGTGTGTGTGTGTCTGTGTGTGTGTGTGTGTGTGTGTGTGTGTGTGTGTGTGTGTGTTTAAGGATAACATAAGATGGCTAATGGCAGGACAGAATTCTTACCCAATTCTTAAAAATGTGTGGTAAACAGAGTTTACTAGTAAAGATTCAAAGCCAGTCTATAAAGCAAGCAAAATAATTCCTTCTGAAGTCCCCAGGAGGAAAGATCTTAGACTAAAAATTTGATGCTAACCTATTAAGTATGGGAAAATCACTTAAGGCTGCAGAAGCAGGGATGAGAAGGGTAGAATAAAATAGGTTCAGTGCTTTAGGATCAGTTTCCCAGGATCCAAAAAAAATAGCTTTATTTTATACGCAGGCTTGAAGAACAATGGGGAAAATATGTGAATAATTTGTAAAGATCAAAAGTACATAATAAAAAGGAACACATTTTTTCAGTTAGATCAAGTTTTTTATTTTCTTACACAAGGTGTTATAGAAAATCCAATCTTTCAGAAAGACAAAAACAAAGATAATCACAATGACATACCAGTGGAAAATTTATAATCCTAATAACCTGACCTAGGCTCTAAATCCATGTAAAATTTGCCTTGCTTTTGTTTAAGGGATTGGTCCAAACAAATGGAGTTTATGAAGCAATGGATACTTGTAAAAGGTAGTTCCCACTGTTGCACTGATTCCAGTCTTGGTTTTTAATATATACATATTTTTTTTCCAGAGAGTTTAGTGAATTTCATATGCCCTATCGTCTCCTCTCCACTTAGAATGCTTTATAGAACAGCCCATCATGTCCTGTGGCCTCAGTTTAACCCAGGATTTGTTAAAACAAACTGCATAGAATGGCCTGTTAGCAATGAATATTTGGAGGAGTCACTGCTCCCCATCTCCACCCCGATTTCCGCAACCTTGCTCTAGAACTCTTCATAAAATAACATCCTGATGTGGCCTATAGATCAGAGACTTTATATTTTCTATCTGGGTCCACTGAAGTCTGGGCTTAAAATCCAGAGCTGATTCTGGGCAAACAGAGAAGAGTACCCTGTTGTGTCCCAGATGAATTTTTCTCACTGAATTGGGAATGTGATAAGCGCTGGTCAAACCATAAAATTCTGATATTTACTGTCATATATTTTGCTTGCCAAATAGTCTAACAAAGTTCTATAGCTTCGGCTCTTAGATCTAAGAGGATAAAATGTTAGGTACAAGAATCCATTATTTTCATCTACTAAAAACTACGTAATTATAAACTCTGGAAAACAGAGCCTGGAAAGCAGAAGCTTTAAAATCAATAGAATTGTGTCTTATAAAGATTTTGGTTTAAGTGATTCTATTAATTTCCAAGTTTCGCTTCTATAGGTATAATAATTTTCTAACCCATTTAGACATTGTATAAGAATGTACATGTACTCATATGTACTTAGAATATGATCAAGAGAGTAGGAATATCTTTAGAAAAATTAAGAAAATTCCACTGAAACTCTTAAGAATAACTCTTAGATTGTAAACTAATCAAATATCTCTGAAATAAAAGTTTATTAAATTTAAATTAAGTGGAAGTTATACATCAAATATTGTTTTCTGAAATCAAAATCTGGTGTACAGTATGTAATACAGAATATTGGATGTTAATTCCTTTTTTAAAACAACTACAAGAAAAATATTAGGAATGATGAATTATGCTGATTGGTTTGACTTGGATCCAAGCAAAGTATCCATTATATCTCCCTGAAAAAAAAAAGTCACACAATTACAATGCAATAAAATGCAAATTAAAAGGTAAAGTAGTCTTTAAAATGCCATTTAAAATTTATAAGTTAGTGATACACATATCCAATAAGATTGTAAAAGGGAAACAAGCAAAGGTAAGTTTAAACAGTAATGGTTATTTCCTAGTATAAACCTACTCTTTCCATGAAAGGCTCTTTTTTTTTTGAGACAGAGTCTTGCTCTGTCGCCAGGCTGGAGTGCAGTGGTGCAATCTCGGCTCACTGTAACCTCCGCCTCCTGGGTTCAAGCAATTCTCCTGCCTCAGCCTCCTGAGTGGCTGGGACTACAGGCACGTGCCACCACGCCCAGCTAATTTTTTGTATTTTTAGTAGAGATACGGTTTCACTGTGTTAGCTAGGATGGTCTCGATCTCCTGACCTCATGATTCGCCCACCTTGGCCTCCCAAAGTGCTGGGATTACATGCGTGAGCCACCGCGCCTGGCCAAAAGACTCTTTTAATGAATTCCGATAAACGATTTTATAAAGATTCAGTAAGAAGAAAATTTTGGCAGCTCCTATTTAACCTTAATGCTTAAGCCTAAACTTTCTTATTTATAAAATACCTGTTAAACTTACTGATATCTTAAATTCTTTCCTGATCTATTAATGTTTGACTTAGAGAGTAGAACTTCTCAATTTCCATGTGGGTTTTGTTATTTTTCATTTAATGGTACTGATATTTGCACTAAAATGGGTAAAATGATCATATATAAGAGGATGAAAATCAAAGATGGGAGGTGAGTTTTTAAGCAAGACAGTATAGTGAAAAGATAGGAGCTGGAAGCAGAAGAGTTTCTCTATCACATAGTAAATGTAATCTTGAGAAAATCATTGAAATCTTTAGATAATGTGACATAAGTCAGTTCCTATTTTTTAGCCTGTACTATGCTATCTTTGGCACTTCCCCATCATTCAAGCCATGCACACCAAATCAGTTGCCAGGTCCATCAATTCTAACCTTAATATGTTTCTCAAACTCATCTCTTTCTACTTCAGTTTCTCACTTGGGCAAATGTAAGAGGTCACTATAAAAATTTGTTCAATGTTGTATCCTTAGACCGTGTCACATAGTAAATATTCAGTAAATACTAATACTTGTTGAAATTTGTTCAATGTTGTATCCTGAGACCCCGTCACATAGTAAATACTCAGTAAATATTAATACTTGTTGAATAATAAATCAATGGTTTATTTTTTCTGCCTTCAGTGTCTATCAGCATTAATTTCTTACATATATTACAGATTCGTGTTTCTAAAACTCTTTTTTGAATATTTCAGTTATCTTTTTATTTTTCCTTCAATTTGGAAAAATGTAAACAGCAAGAACACAGAGAAAAACATGGTAAACATTTGTATAATGAACCATAATAGTAAAAATAGTATCCAGGAGTGATTCTCTACAGGCTGCCTGCAGAAAAGGAGTTGCTTCTGTAACTCTCCATTGAAACTGACTTCTCCCAAGGGCTTAAACCATAATTCTCTACAGCTCAAGACATAGACCACCAGCAATCCTCATCATGCCAGTAGAAGAGCTGGTGCCTCCCCAGTCATGAATGTTAATGCAGTGGTAACTCCTGCCAACAGTTAGCTACATCATAAAGTTACAATTGGAAGCCTTGGATCCCAGTCTCCTGTTCATGCCAGACGTTAGGCTGGTGTTACCCCTAACCATGAACCCTAAGCTGGTAGGACAGGGCTGGAGCCAACCTTTGGCCATATCCTACCACAAAAGTATTCTGGTCCTTGCTGTCATCGGGAAGGGGCCAGAGTTTCAGAAATCATGTCACTTAATACCTCCAGAGGGCCAGGCATGGTGGCTCACACCTGTAACACCAGTGCTTTGGAAGGCCAAGATATGAAGATTACTTGAGGCCAGGGGTTTATGACCAGCCCGGGCAACATTAACAAGTCCCTGTCTGTACAAAAAATTAAAATAAATTTTAAAGATTAAAAGTTAAAAAAATTAAAAGTAGCAATTAGAAAAAGTGATACTAACCAGAGTCCTGAAAGGCACTGATAAAAGATAGTTTCCTTTGTATACCTCCTAATACTGTTCTTCCCTTTCCCTCACGTCCCGGGGGCAGCCTTTATCATAAATTTGGTGCACATCTTTCATATAGAATGAAATCATAAGGCTTCCAAAATTTTGATTCACTCTTGGTTAAAATTAATGAAAAAATTATAGGTCATAATGTTACTTGACAAGATATCTTGGTAGGAAATAATGTTTTTGACATTACTTTGAAACTTCAAATTATTATTATGACTATAATTCTCCATAAGCGAAGAAAGAAAAGGTATATCATTAACATTTGGCTGTAAGTAACAAAAAAACTAATTAATGGTTTTTTGTTGTTGTTTAATCTCCCAAAAAATATAACCCTAAGCCTTTCAAATATAGTGACCAAAAACATGAAAAACATATTTGTATCCAAAAATTATATTTATTTACTAACAATATGAAATTGATTTGTTAAGAAAATTATTCTTACCAGCCTTGAAATCACACACACACACACACACACACACACACACACACACACACACACACAGGTTTGCCAAAAATGTTCAGATTCTCTAAGCTTAGCTTTCTGCTTGTAGAGCATACTGTTCAAATTAAAAGATTGCATAACCAATTCAAATCCAAACACAAAAATTAAGTATTTTTCTTCTATATTCCAGTCTATATTTTATACTTTTACCAACTATAAATGTGTCTACTAAAAATATGTTTTTATTTTTGTGTTTAAATAATACTTACATATATTATAACATATTGTACTTACTTTGTGGAAATTTGCTTTTATCACTCAACACTGTTTTTTAAATGTATTCAAAATTTGTCATATTAACACATTAAGATATAGGTCATTTAAATCTCTGTACTGTAATTACACATGTGAAAATGTCATATTTTATCTATCCAGTCTTCCACTGATCATCATTTGGGTTGTTTTCAATTTGTCAGTATACAAACAAGGCTACTATAAACATTGTTTTCTCATTAGCATGTTTTTCACACCATTACCCATGAGTTGAACAAAGCCCTAAAGATGTACAGAATCTGGGCTAGGCCTGGTGGCTCATGCCTGTAATCCCAGCACTTGAGGACGCTTAGGTGGGCAAATCACTTGAGTCCAGGAGTTCGAGATGAGTCTGGATAACACGGCAAAACCCCATCTCTACAAAATATACAAAAATTAGTTGGGCATTATGGTATGCACCTGTAGTCCCAGCTACTTGGGAGGCTGAGGTGGGACAATTGCTTGATCCCAAGAGTTTGAGGCTGCAGTGAGCCAAGATCAGGCCACTACACTCCAGCCTAGGCAAAAGAGTGAGACCTTTTCTAAAAGAAAAAAAGAAAAAAAAAAACGGATAGAATCTCATCTAATCAGATGGCATTTAAACATCTACAAAAGTTGTAATCCTACTGCATAGGAAAACTGTAATAATTTAGAATTTAATGATACAGTAAATCAATGAATTGAAGTCAATCAAGTGATCCAGCAACATGGGCAAGGTTGCAGACTTCTGTGAGATGATGGAGGACTTAGGTAATGTGTAACTACAATTTAGGAGACATGGACTGGGAGACAAATGCACTGGAGCATTGACAAATCAACAGTAAAACAGGGCTCAGGCTGGCAGCTAAGGTAATTAGGTAAATCCCCTTAAATGTTCACAATGTCAGGCTTCATTCCCTGGCTAAAATCTTAAGTCAAGATGCATCTTGGCTAGTTGTGAAAATAATCTTCAAAACTACTTATAATGTTAATCTTTTTTACCCTGAGAAGAATAAACACTGTGTAAAAAATGATGCAGCAAATGAAACAGATAACTTTAGTATTTTTGGCATTAAGGAATGTATATATTTTTAATATTTTAAATATTCATTATATATATGAGAATTTGCCATATTGGAATGTCTAACAGAAACATTTGCTTCTTATATAAATGTGTAATTTTGGTAATTGATTTAGACTTACAATCATGGATTGAAATCTTACTAATTTGTAAACAGCATTGGAATATTTAAGAAAATATAGTATTCATCACATTTAAAATTTTTAATTTATGAAATTACTAAGAATTCCTTAAGTATCTGAGACTTGTTTGTCCATAAGAAAATTGAAGTACTTAAAAGTCCAATATATTAAATTTATAAATGAGATTTAAAATATTTAAGAAAATTTAATTAAATTGCAAAAACTCACTTAGCATGTATTAAAATCTGCTAGACTTAAAAAGAGAATAACAAAATATATAATCTAAATGTAAGAACTTAAGATGAACTGTTCGTTTTTTGTAAATCTTATATCATTTGAATATGAATTTTTAAAATCAAAGTAGACTGAGTAATCTTTTGTACATATAAAGGCTACTGTAGAGAACATTAGAAATAAGAAATAAATTGGCCAGGTGCGGTGGCTCACGCCTGTAATCCCAGCACTTTGGGAGGCCGAGGTGGGCGGATCACCTGAGGTCAGGAGTTCGAGACCAGCCATGGCGAAACCCTGTCTCTACTAAAAAAGTACAAAAATTAGCCAGGCGTGGTGGTGGGTGCCTGTAATCACAGCTACTGAGGAGGCTGAGGCAGTAGAATTGCTTGAACCTGGGAGGCAGAGGTTGCAGTGAGCCAAGATCGTGCCACTGCATTCCAGCCTGGGCGACAAGAGTGAGACTCCATCTCAAAAAAAGAAATAAGAAATAAATTGTTAAAAACACCTCACATTGATACTTCCTTATACATGTCTCCTATTGTACATGTGTAAGATGTGATTCTCTATGGCTTGCATGGTATTTGAATTTTCCATTTTATTTCATTGCTTTCTGAAGAGGCTATTTTAATTTCTATTACCAGTATATAAATTATTAAATTACTCTTATACTGGCCCCTTTGCCACTTTTCTCTCAAGCAACTTCCTTACCAGTCAAAAAAGTCAACTTATTAGTTCCTTAAGATGACATGAGCCTTTCCAATTCCTTATCTTTGCTCGAGATTTTCCCTCAGTCAGGAATAACAATTCCAATTTTTCCTTATCTGCAAGGAAAAATCCTAAACCTCCAAGCATAGCTGAAATTTAATCTCCTTTGTGAAAACCTTCACAAAAGCATTCTCTTATTTTCCTTTTCCTCTTCCCATTCACCTTCCAAAAGTCAATTATTCTCCTGCTCTGTGATTCTATAGTAGTTCATTATTTCTGTTCTTTATGACTTGATTATAGTTTCTTGAATATCTATTGTCCCTTTCTTAGAAACCATGTCTTTTGCTTGTGTGTTTGTTCATTCAGATAGTCATTCAGTATTCACTGAATGCCCATTATGTGCTAGTACTGCGCTAGACACTTACATATATGTTTCCAAGGGGCTCATACTAGTAAGAAAAATAAGTGTACGAAATACTGCAACTTATATTGATAGATTATTGTCACACTTGACAGGTTTTATATATATATATAATATACACACACAAATACGTATATACATTTGATGAAAAGAAAAGAATCAACATGTCAATACTCACAGATTTCTCTTCCACCACTATCTCCAACACACAATAACAAAAATTTTCAAACAACTCAAACCACTCAATTCCCACTCCCAACCACCGCAAATTCAGAGTTTGTGGGCAAGTTCTTAGAGCTCATGTGAGATGGACTAAGAGAATCATAGAGACTTTTTTTTTAAAAAAGATGAATTTAGGCTTTGAGGCTACATTTAGAATTGGAGGCTTATGGACAAAAGAAGAAAAAAAGATTACTATAAACTATGTATTTGGATTCACTTAAACATTTTAAGACATTTGAATAAGAATGGAATTTTCTTTTAATTTCTTTTGGTCATTGAGTTGTGTATCTTAGGCAAGTTTCAATGTGGAGATAAATATCCCAGTTCCTGTTAAAATATCTGATACTCAATAAATGTGTGAGAAATGAAAACATGTTTAATATCATGAAAAAGCCATTAGGATTACATTCCTCAGAGTAGACTAAAATTACTATGTAAGAAAACCAATGCATTTTGCAAAAAAAAATACAGATGATATGGAAAACAGGTAAGTAAAAAGAAAAACTAAAATTTATCCATGACTCCACCACTAATAACTAATAATTGTAATACAAAGCATGTTAATTTTTTCTCTAGTTTTTCAATGCATATTTATTCAACAAGCATTTATTGAATAACTACTATAAGCCAGACACTATACTAGCCCATGGCAATACAACCCAGAAAAAAGAGACAAAAAACACTGTTTTCATAGAGTTAACATTCTAGGTGTGGGACACAGGCAATTAACAAAATATATAAATAAATTATGTTATAATGCATACATAAATTTATATATAAATAAATATAAAATGCATAAGCAAGTTTATGTATATTCAAAGGTGGTAAATGTTATTTAAACAATAAGTCATGAAAGAGTATTGAATAGGGAATGTGAAAGATAGTAGAGGTTGCAATTTTAAATAAGATGATCAGTAAAGACTTCACTGAGAAAGTGACACTTGAGCAAAGATTTGAAGTAAGTAAAGAAATAAGCCCTGTGAATTTTAGGCTGGGGAAATGATAAGCATTTTATTATTTTATTTATTTACTTATTTAACATTTGTAGTCTGTATGGTTGGGACAGAACTCTACCTCCTACATGTGACCCAGATCTAATCAATCATCTGATTTCCCTGGCCACATTTCCTTCTTGTTGGATATTTATGTTGTTCTGTTTTCCTTTTCCTTTTCTTTTCTTATCATCTCATGAGTAATGCTATAGTTAATTTATTTTATTAAATTTATAAACATTTCTATAGGCTAGTCTCAGAAGTGGAATTACTAGTTAAAAGGAATCAATATTCTCTAAACATTTCTCTTTTTTTTTTTTTTTTTTTTTTTTTGAGTCAGAAGTTTGCTCTGTTGCCCAGGCTGGAGTGCAGTGGCGCCATCTCAGCTTACTGCAACCTCCCTCTCCCAGGTTCAAACGATTCTCGTGCCTCAGCCTCCTGAGTACCTGGGACTACAGGCACCCGCCACTACACCCAGCTAATTTTTGTATTTTTAGTAGAGACAGAGTTTCACCATATTGGCCAGGCTGCTCTTGAACTCCTGACCTCAAGTGATGCACCTGCCTCGGTCTCCAAAAGTGCTGGGATTACAGGTATAAGCCACCGTGCCCAGCCTTCTCTAAACATTTCTAACAGTCTTGATTCAGATTGTCAAATTGCTTCCAAAAAGTTATACCGATTTCTATTCCAACCACCAGTATGAGAGGACTCATCAAATGTTTGCCAGTACAGAGTAGTCTTATTAAAAAATTATTTTTAAATAAACCTTGTAAATCTGATATGTGAGAATGCTATTAGAATTTAATAATATTTTATCTTTTAAATTATTAGTGAGGTTGGATTTTAAAACATATTTACTAGTCATTTTTTGTGAATGACCTGTTCCTGACCATTGCCCATTTTTTTATTTAAGTCTTGGTGTTTTTTCATATTGATTTGTGCATATTTTTAATATTTTAACATATTTATCATATTTGTGCTAATATTTACCAGATTATTGTTTATAATAACAATCTAAACATAAGAAATAGAGAAAAAATGAAAATTTTAAATTGAAAACTTTTTTTAAATAATAGGCATCTATTGACACTGAGTTGTCTGTCAAAGTTCGACACAAAACTTGGGTATTTGAAGAACGTGGAATAAGAGAATATGATAATGCTAATCCAACAGAAATAAATGCCCATTTCAGGAACATTGGAAAATATCTAAAAATAGAATTATTTTATGTAACAATCTTTTAATACATGATGTAAACTTCTTTGAATATCTTTAAGAATTATTAAGTCCCAATTACATACTAGGCACAATTTTAGGTTATCCCATATAATATTTACAATTATTTTGCTCACCAACATTATTATTCTCATTATCTTTTACAGATAAATAAGACGAGGCTGAAAAAAAAAAAATAACCCTAGTAGGCACCATGTATAGAAGTTAGCAACTCCTGGAATTTATGTTCTTTTATTATATTACACCTAAGATATTGAGAAATGTAAATCCTTTGCATGCTACAAAAGTATAACTGAATAGACTAATAAAATGACACAAATTTTTTTACTCTTGAGTCTTACCCGGCCAGTTTCCAAAACAGTAGGCATATTTCTCAGTTCATACACAGAAACCTGTCCATCACTGTCTCCTACCAGAAGGCAATCTGTTTGTTTGGCAAAGAGAATGGTTGTGAACTTGATTCCAGGGTTAGCAGTATTCACAATCAGAGGGTCCAAACTGTAATGAAATATTTTATTTGTAAATTCAATTGTTATATTAATATGGTCTTTTAAATAGACAAAGAAAAATTTGACATTTTTTAAATTAAATGTAACAAAAACCATAAGCCTATTTAAGTGTTTCCAAACTCAAAATAACTGCTCCTCACTCCTTACTCAATCAAAACCTTCATTTCTTCAATGAACTAATTTCAACCAGGTAAATTAAAGTACTTCACAATTAAGATGTGAACTCATAAATTTAAACTTCTGTGATGGTTAATTTTGTGTGTCCACTTAGCTAGGCTATGGTACCCAGAGGTTTGGTCAAACATCAGTCTATTGTAAAGATATTTTTTTCAAATACAATAACATTTAATTCACTAGAATTTGTTTTTTTTGTTATTTATTTATTTATTATTATTATATTTTAAGTTTTAGGGTACATGTGCACAATGTGCAGGTTTGTTACATAGGTATACCTGTGCCATGCTGGTGCGCTGCACCCACTAACTCGTCATCTAGCATTAAGTGTATCTCCCAATGCTATCCCTCCCCACTCCCCCCACCCCACAACAGTCCCCAGAGTGTGATGTTCCCCTTCCCGTGTCCATGTGTTCTCATTGTTCAGTTCCCACCTACGAGTGACAATATGCGGTGTTTGGTTTTTTGTTCTTGCGATAGTTTGCTGAGAATGATGATTTCCAATTTCATCCATGTCCCTACAAAGGACATGAACTCATCATTTTTTATGGCTGCATAGTATTCCATGGTGTATATGTGCCACATTTTCTTAATCCAGTCTATCGTCGTTGGACATTTGGGTTGGTTCCAAGTCTTTGCTATTGTGAATAATGCCGCAATAAACATGCGTGTGCATGTGTCTTTATAGCAACATGATTTATAGTCCTTTAGGTATATACCCAGTAATGGGATGGCTGGGTCAAATGGTATTTCTAGTTCTAGATCCCTGAGGAATCGCCACACTGACTTCCACAATGGTTGAACTAGTTTACAGTCCCACCAACAGTGTAAAAGTGTTCCTATTTCTCCACATCCTCTCCAGCACCTGTTGTTTCCTGACTTTTTAATGACTGCCATTCTAACTGGTGTGAGATGGTATCTCATTGTGGTTTTGATTTGCATTTCTCTGATGGCCAGTGATGATGAGCATTTTTTCATGTGTTTTTTGGCTGCATAAATGTCTTCTTTTGAGAAGTGTCTGTTCATGTCCTTCGCCCACTTTTTGATGGGGTTGTTTGTTTTTTTCTTGTAAATTTGTTTGAGTTCATTGTAGATTCCGGATATTAGCCCTTTGTCAGATGAGTAGGTTGTGAAAATTTTCTCCCATTTTGTAGGTTGTCTGTTCACTCTGATGGTAGTTTCTTTTGCTGTGCAGAAGCTCTTTAGTTTAATTAGATCCCATTTGTCAATTTTGTCTTTAGTTGCCATTGCTTTTGGTGTTTTAGACATGAAGTCCTTGCCCATGCCTATGTCCTGAATGGTAATGCCTAGGTTTTCTTCTAGGGTTTTTATGGTTTTAGGTCTAACGTTTAAGTCTTTAATCCATCTTGAATTGATTTTTGTATAAGGTGTAAGGAAGGGATCCAGTTTCAGCTTTCTACATATGGCTAGCCAGTTTTCCCAGCACCATTTATTAAATAGGGAATCCTTTCCCCATTGCTTGTTTTTCTCAGGTTTGTCAAAGATCAGATAGTTGTAGATATGCGGCATTATTTCTGAGGGCTCTGTTCTGTTCCATTGATCTATATCTCTGTTTTGGTAGCAGTACCATGCTGTTTTGGTTACTGTAGCCTTGTAGTATAGTTTGAAGTCAAGTAGTGTGATGCCTCCAGCTTTGTTCTTTTGGCTTAGGATTGACTTGGCGATGCGGGCTCTTTTTTGGTTCCATACGAACTTTAAAGTAGTTTTTCCAATTCTGTGAAGAAAGTCATTGGTAGCTTGATGGGGATGGCATTGAATCTGTAAATTACCTTGGGCAGTATGGCCATTTTCTCGATATTGATTCTTCCTACCCATGAGCATGGAATGTTCTTCCATTTGTTTGTATCCTCTTTTATTTCCTTGAGCAGTGGTTTGTAGTTCTCCTTGAAGAGGTCCTTCACATCCCTTGTAAGTTGGATTCCTAGGTATTTTATTCTCTTTGAAGCAATTGTGAATGGGAATTCACTCATGATTTGGCTCTCTGTTTGTCTGTTGTTGGTGTATAAGAATGCTTGTGATTTTTGTACATTGATTTTGTATCCTGAGAGTTTGCTGAAGTTGCTTATCAGCTTAAGGATAATTCACTAGAATTTGAATAAAGCTGATTACCCTCCATAATGTGGGTAGGCTTCATACAATTAGTTGAAGGCCTTAAAAGAAAAGAATGATATCCACCAAAGTGGAATAAAATTCTACCTGCAGAATGCCTTTCTACTCAAGATTGCAACATGACTCCTGCTGGAAATTCCAGCCCGCCAGCCTGCACTGCAGATTTCATACTTGATAGGACCCACTCCTTAAAATAAATGTCTCTCTCAAGAGATAGATATAAAGATAGGAATATATAGAGACAGAGACAACAATAGATCTAAGTAGATACATACATCTTATTGGTTCTGTTTCTCTGGAGATCCCTAACACAACTTCTTAAATAATAACTGTCTTTTTTTTTTTTTTTTTTTTTTTTGAGACGGAGTCTCGCTCTGTCGCCCAGGCGGGACTGCGGACTGCAGTGGCGCAATCTCGGCTCACTGCAAGCTCCGCTTCCCGGGTTCACGCCATTCTCCTGCCTCAGCCTCCCGAGTAGCTGGGACTACAGGCGCCCGCCACCGCGCCCGGCTAATTTTTTTTGTATTTTTAGTAGAGACGGGGTTTCACCTTGTTAGCCAGGATGGTCTCGATCTCCTGACCTCATGATCCACCCGCCTCGGCCTCCCAAAGTGCTGGGATTACAGGCGTGAGCCACCGCGCACGGCCTAATAACTGTCTTTTAACAGAATAATGTTTTTATCCAAATGAACCTCTGGAACGTACAAGTACATTTTGAACAAGAAGTTTTCCTAGTCTTCGTCATCTAAAGCAATCTACCTAGTGTCCTCAAAAGAAGACAAGTAGCAAGTTTGCATACTTCTTTTAAAAATGTGTTGTCCTGGGAATTACAGTTTTTCCAGAAAAATTACAATCAGAGGTGGGATTATTTAAGAAGCCACTTTATACATTAGTCACCTCATACTTGTAATCCTTGATTTGTAATCCTTGGTTCATACTGTTTTGTAAAACAAACCAGGACAAAATTTTAAAGTTACTGAATTATCAATTCCTAGCAAAAAATTTTCTCATAAAGAATAAATCCATTGAATTTGACATCATTTCTTTCAAACAAGAATTTATTTTCTTGCTTTTGCTAAAAACTAGCATAAAGATATATTATAATTTCCAACTGAAAAAGCAGAACCATTAACGTTTTTATTTCAACATTGTATTAAGTTTTCATATTAGGAAGAATAAATTAATTTAGACAATCCTCTAATAACTTTGGTGTAATATCTTAAATCAAAAATTTTAATTAAGTTCATACCCCTCTGAATATTTTTGAAACAAGGTAAGAGCATAAGTAAATGTTGCAAAAATAATTACTTTGTCCCTTTTTTCTACTGTAGAAAATTTTTAGTTAAAAATGTAAAAATGCCTGTGTATGTTTCTCTAAACCAGGCAATGAATAAGAACTCAAGATAGCTATTATATCCTATATCGTCCTATAAAAGTTTGAGGAGATGAGTAAGGTAAACCACTTTCTTTAGTCTTTTTTTTTTGAGACAGAGTCTCACTGTGTTGCCCAGGTTGGAGTACACTGGCGCAATCTTGGCTCACTGCAACCTCTGCCTCTTGGGTTGAAATGATTCTCCTGTTTCAGGCTTCCAAGTAGCTGGAACTACAGGTGCATGCCACCACACCTGGCTAGTTTTTGTATTTTGGTAGAGATGGGGTTTTGCCATGTTGGCCAGGCTGGTCTTGAACTCTTGACCTCAAGTGATCCTCCCGCCTCAGCCTCCCAAAGT